>NC_000012.12:72611643-72763158 GCF_000001405.40 Homo sapiens | reverse complement strand
CTGTCTGCCATTTGTATGGCCACTTTTGATAATTGTCTATTCATGTTCATTGCTTATTTTGAATGATTTTAATTGTTGCATTGTTTGAGTTTCTTATATGTTCTTTATATTAGTCTCTTGTCACATATCGGGGGAATAGTTTGCAAATATTTTCTTCCATTCAACAGATTGTTTTTTCACTCTATTGATTGTTTCCTTTGCCATGCAGGAGTCTTTAGTTTAACATTATCTCATTTGTCTATTTCTGTTTTTATTACTCACACTTCTGAGGTCTTAACAATAAAATTTTTGCCAGTGTTTTAAATCGTTTCCCCTATGTTTTCCTCTGGTAGTTTAATAGTTTCTGATCTTGTGTTTAGGTCTTTAATCCACCTTAAATTTATTTTTTGTATATAAGAGATAGGGGTTCACTTTCATTTGTCTGCATATTTATATATAGTTTCAAAGCACTATTTATTGAAAAGGGTGTCCTTTCCTCAATGTATGTTCTTGGCACATATGTCAAAAATTAATTGTCTGTAAATACATGAATTTATTTCTGAGTTTGCTATTTTGTTCCATTGGTCTATATTTCTGTTTTTATACCAATACCATGCTGTTTTGGTTACTGTATCCTTATAATATATTCTGAAGTCAGGTAGTTTGATGTCTACAGTTTTGTTCTTTGGGCTATTGTGGTTCCATATGAATTTTAAACGTTTCTATTTTTGTGAAAAATGACATTGGTATGTCACTATAGAGTGCAGTAAGTACATAGATTGCTTTGGGTAGCATGGCCATTTAACAATAATTATTCTGATCTATGAAAATGAGATGTATTTCATTTGTTTGTATCCTCCTCAATTTCTTTCATCAGAGTTTTGTAGGTTTTATTTTTCTTTTTTTGTGGAACTCTTTTAACTACATGGTTAAATTTATTTCTAGGTAACTTATTTTGTTATATATATATGGTATTGTCTTCTTGATTTTTTTTCAACTATTTCATTATTGGTGAGTAGAAATACTCCTGATTTTTGTATGTAGATTTTGTATCTGCAACTTTGTTAAATTTATTGATTGGATATAAAAGGGTGTTTTGTTGTTGTTGTCAAGCCTTTAGATTTTTCTAGATATAAGATCAGGTCATATACAAAGAGGGACAATTTAACTTTCTCTTTTCCAATTTAGAAGCCTTTGATTTATTTTTATTTTCTAATAGCTCTGTCCAGGACTTCCAGTACTATGTTGAACGGGAGTAATGAAAGTTGACATCTTTGTCTTGTTGCAGTTCTTAGAAGAAAGGCTTTCTGCTTTTCTTCATTCAGTATGATGAAAACTGTAGGTTTGTCATATATGGCCTTTATTATGTTCAGGTACTTTATTTCTATGCCTACTTTGTTAAGTTTTTATCATTCAATGTTTTAACCATCTTTGTATCTCTGAGATAAATCCCACTTGATCATGATGTATCATCTTTTTCATGTGTTTTTGAATTCAGTTTGCTAGTTTTTGGTTGAGGATTTTAAAAATCTATGTTCATCAGAGATATTGGCTGGTAGTTTTTTGTTGTTGTTGTTGTTGTTATATTTTGTCTGGTTTGGGCATCAGAGTAATACTAGCCTCATAGAATGAGTTAAGGAGAATTTTCTTCTCTCCAAGATTTTGGAACAGTTTGAGGAGAATTGATGTTAGGTATTCTTTGTAAGTTTGGTAGAATTCTGCAGTGAAGTCATCTGGTCCTAGGCTTATCTTTTATCAGGAGAATTTTTATCACTGATTCAATTTCATTATTTATTATTGCTCTATTCAGATTTTTTTCTATCTCTTTCTAAGTCAATCTTGGTAGGTTATATGTTTCCAAAATATCTATTTCCTTTAGGCTTTCCAGTTTGTTCGTGTATAGTTGTTCATAATAGTCTCTATCATTTATTTTTCTGTGGTATCAGTTTTAACGTCTTCTTTTTCACTTCTAATTTTGTTAATTTGGGTCTTCTCCCTTTTTTTCTTGGTTAGTCTAGCTAGTGGTTTATTGATTTTATCTTCAAAAATCCAACTTTTTGTTTCATTAATACTTTGTATTTTATTTTTAGTGCATAGTTCATTTAGTTCTGCTCTGATCTGTTTTTATTTTTTTTTTTGCTTCTACTAGTTTTGTATTTGGTTTGTTCTTGCTTTTCTAGGTCTTTGAGGTACATTGTTAGATTATGGATTTAAAATATTTCTACTTTTGATGTAGGTATTTATTGCCATAAACTTCCATCATAGCACTGCTTTTGCTGTATTTCAGATTGTGGTATGTTGTGTTTCAATTTTCATTTGTTTCCAGGAATTTTTAAATTTTCTTCTTAAATTCTTTTCTGACTCAGTGGTCATTCAGGAGCATGTTGGTTAATTTCCATGTATTTTTATAGTTTTCAAAATTCTTCTCGTTATTGAGTACTAGTTTTATATCATCATGGTCCATGAAAACACTTGATATGATTTTTTTTTAATTTGTTAAGGGTTATTTTGTGGCCTAATATATGGTCTATTCTGGAGAAAGTTTCATATACTGTTAAGAATGTGTATTCAGCAACTGTTGAATAAAATGTTTCATCAATGTGTATTAAGTCCATTTGGTGTAAAGTACAGTTTAAATCCAATGTTCCTTTGTTTATTTTCTGTGTAGATGATCTGTCTAATGCTAAGAGTGAGGTATTGAAGTCTCCAATTATTATCGTATTGGAGTTTATTTCTCCCTTTAGATCTGATAATATTTGCTTAAATATCTCAGTGTTCCAGTGTTGGATACATATAGGTTTAGAATTGTTATACTCTTGTTGAATTGATGCCTTTATCATTACGTAATGACCTTCTCTGTCTGTTTTTACTGTTTTTGTCTTAAAGTCTATTTTATCTGATATAAGTATAGCTACTCCAGCTTAATTTTTGTTTCTGTTTGCATGGAATATCTATTTTCATCTCTTTATTTTCAGTCTATATGTGTCTTAGAGGTGAGATGAATTTCTCGTAGGCAGTACATAACTCAGTCGATTTTTTTTTTTTGCCACTTAGTCTATATATATTTAAGTGGAAAGTTTAATCCACTTACATTCCAGGTTATTACTGATATGTGAGGGCTTTTTCCTGTCATTTTACTAAATTATTTTCTGGTTGTTGTGTATATCCTTTGTTCCTTTCATTCTCTTTTTTTTTTTTTTTTTTTTTTTTCACTGCAACCTTCGCTTCCTAGGTTCAAAAGATTCTCCTGCCTCAGCCTCCCAAGTAGCTGGGATTACAGGCCCTTGCCACCACGCTCAGCTTTTTTTTTTTTTTTTGTATTTTTAGTAGAGACTGGGTTGCACCATGTTGGCCAGGATGGTCTCAATCTCCTGACCTTGTGATCCGCCTGCCTTGGCCTCCAAAAGTGCTGGGATTACAGGCATAAGCCACCATGCCCAGCCTCATCCTCTCTTATTTTTTATAGTTTTGGTTGATGACTTTCTGTAGTAGTAATATATGAGTTCTTTCTCTTTCTTATTCATGTGTTTGCTCTACCAGTGTGTTTTATACTTTCCTGATGGTAGGTATCATCCTTTCATTTCCATGTATAGGACTCTATTAAGCATTTCTTATAAAGCTGGTCTCATAGTGATGAATTCTGTATGCTTTTGCTTGTCTGGAAAATACTTTATTTCTCCATTTATGAATAATAACTTACTTTCCTGGGTATATCCTTGACTGGCAGTATTTCTTCTATCAGCACTTTGAATATATCATCGCGTTCTCTCCTGGCCCATATAGTTGCTGCTGAGAAATCCACTGTTAGTCTGATGGGGGTTCCCTTGTAAGTGACTAGACACTTTTTTCCTGTTGTTTTTAGAATTATATCTTTTGTTTTTTTACTTTTGACAGTTTGACTAGAATGTGCCTTGGAGATCTTTTGTGTTGTAACTTTTTGGGAATCTCTGAGAGTTTCCTGTGTCTGGATATCAAAATTTCTTGGTAGACATGTGAAATTATTTCCAGCTATTATTTAATTAAATAGGTTTTTTATCCCTTTGGCCTTTTGTTTCTGCAACACCTAATATTCAAATATTTGGTTGCTTTATGGTGTGCCATATATCATGGAGGCTTTCGTCATCCCTTTTATTCTTTTTTCTTTATTTTTGCCTGACTGGTTTATTTTAAAAGGCCTATCTTCAAGTTCTGAAATTCTTTCTTTATCTTGATCTAGTCTATTATTGAAGTTCTCAGTTGTATTTTTTTATTTTATTCAATGAATTCTTCAGTTTCAGGATTTCTGTTAGGTTTTATTTTATGATCTCTATCTACTCAGTACATTTTTCATTCATATACTCTATCTTTCTTCTCATTTCTTCATATTGTTTATCTGTGTTCTCTTGTATTTCACTGAGCTTCTTGAATACTGTTATTTAAACCTCTTTTCTGGCATTTCATAAATTTCTTATTAAAGCCTATTGCTTGAGAATTATTGTGTTCCTTCAGAGGTATCATATTTCTTTGTTTTTCCATGTTTCTTGTGTTCTTATGTTGATATTGATATCTGATGTGATTAATTCTTCTTCCAATGTTTTGGCTTTGCTTTTGTAGATGAGGATTTTTCCTAAAGATGTATTGATAATATTGATGGTGTAGGGGCACCTTGCCTTTGATTCTGGGTACATGAAGCAGCATAGTGTGAATATACTTTCTTAAGCTATAAACAGCATCAGTGGTGTCTGTGATCTCCTCAGAGGCTTAGGGTACAATTGTTAGTGAAAGCTGTGGTGAAGTTTTGCTGAGGACAGGGATGCCAGGTGGGCTAGTCCTCAGGCCCCAGTGGTGGCAGCAGTGGATCAAACCTGCCTGTCCTTGGGCTACAGGGAGATATACACTGGCACCAGTGTTAGCATGTCCAGGTCAGTCGATTTATGGTCCTCCAAGTGGCTTACAGCAGTGGCAGTTGTGGGCTATGGATGGGTGGGTCCTCAGGCCCCTTGTCAGGCAGTGTGTTGTGGGTAATGGCAGTAGTAGTGGTGGAATAACCCTCTGGCTCCCAAGAGATCCATGATAGTGTTAGTGGTGGCTGCAATGGTCTTAGAGAGCTAGTCTCCAGGCTTGTAGTTGACACATTCAGTTGGATGAGCCTGCTTCAGGGTACATGCCAGTGTGCTATAGCCCTGCTGCTGGGGAGGGGGAGTTGAGGTTATTGTCAGTGGCAACAGCCATAGGCAGGTGGCTGGCATATTATTCCATTTTCATACTGTTATGAAGACATACCCGAGACTGGGTAACTTATAAAAAAAAAAGAGGCTTAATGGATTCACTGTTCCACGTGGCTGGGAAGGCCTCACAAACATAGCGGAAGGTGAAAGGAAAGGAAAGGCACATCGTATATAGTGGCAGGCAAGAGAGCATGTGCAGGGGAACTGCCCTTTATAAAACTATCAGATCTCATGAGACTTATTCACTATCACAACAACATGGGAAAACCCAGCCCGGTGATTCAACTACCTCCCACTGGGTTTCTCCCAAACACATGGAGATTATGGGAGCTACAATTCAAGATGAGATTTGGGTGGGGACACAGCTAAGCCATATCAGCTAGGGAGCATGTGTTTCAGCTCTAGGCAGCAGCTCCAGTGGGGAGAGTTTGTTCTCAGGGCACTTGTGAATGCATGGCAATCCTGCTGCTGTGGGTAGCAAGGTTGCTGCCAGTGGCTCCTGCCAGTGGCTGGCACTTCAGCCTCAGTGGCAGCAGCTAGCAACAGTAGCAGCTGTGAGTAAGGGAGCTTCTTTTCAGGGCAAGTGCAGATGCATGGAAGCCCCACTGCTAGAGGTGGTGGGGTCACTGTCAGTGGCTTGTGCTTCCATCCCGGCAGCAGTAGTGGCTGCAGGTGGGGGCTCTTGTCCTCATAGCATGTGCAGATGCACAACAGTCCAGTTGCTGGGGACAGTGAGGTCATTGCCAGTAACCCTCAGCCCTGGCAGCAGCAGTCAGCAGCAGTAGCAGCTCAGGCAGAGGATGTCAATGCAGCTCCAGTGATGTTGTGATGTAGGGGATGTTGGGCCCTAGGGCAGGATGCAATCTGGTGGGGGCTGTGCTCTCAAAAATGGCACTGTGCTGTAACTGCTTAGGTCTCTGTGGTTGTGTGGGACCCAGCATGAGCTCCCTCTCTGGAGCAATAGTGTCACACGGACCCCAGGCAGTTCACTATATTAGTTTTAGTGCCCCTGTGGGTTGAGAGGCTCTCCCATGGCTAGGATTACAGGCATTTGCAGTGGGAATATGGATCACTGGGGATCTGTCATTTATCCTTTCCCCACAATGAGGAGCCTCTCCAGACTGCCAGTCAATACTGGACAAGGAGGCTGCTTCACTTTACTCTCCTTCCTTGCCTGAGGTGTTTCCTGTCACTTTCCTGTTGAATGTCAGTTCTCTCTCTTAGATGACCCATTCAAAGTCTGATTATCTACTCAGTTTGTTAGTTCCTCTTTGTGGAGGAGATGAATGTCAGATACCTCTAGACAGCCATCTTGAAGCCCTACTCAAAACTATATTGGTGTGTTTTAATCAACAAATTTTTTGTATAAAAATACATACTTAAAATGATTTTACATTATCATCACACAAATATTGGAAACTTCTAGAAATATTTTATTTCTGTTTCTTCTTTTAAAACAAAAGGGATACATATGCAGAATGTGCAGGTTTGTTACATAGGAATACCTGTGCCATGGTGGTTTGCTGCACCTATTGACCCATCCTCTAAGTTCCCTCCCTTCAGCCCCCACCCCACAACAGACCCTGATGTGCATTGTTCCCCTCTCTGTGTCCATGTGTTCTCATTGTTCAACTCCCACTTATGTGATATTTGGTTTTTTCTTCCTGTGTTAGTTTGCTGACAATAATGGCTTCCAGTTTCATCCATGCCCCTGCAAAGGACATGATCTCATTCCTTTTTATGGCTGCATAGTATCCCATGGTTTATATGTACCCCATTTTCTTTATCCAGTCTATCACTGAAGGGCATTTGGGTTGGTTCCATGTCGTTGCTATTGTAAATAGTGCTGTAATAAACATACGTGTGCATGTGTCTTTACAGTAGAATGATTTATATTCCTTTGGGTATATACCCAGTAATGGGATTGCTGGGTCAAATGGTATTTCTGGATCTAGATCCTTGAGGAATCGCCACGCTGTCTTCCACAACGGTTGAACTAATTTACATTCCTGCCAACAGTGTAAATGTTTCTATTTCTCCACGGCCAGCATCTATAGTTTCCTGACTTTTTAATAATTTCCATTTGGACTGGAGTAAGATGGCATCTCATTGTGGTTTTGATTTGCATTTCTCTGATGATCAGTGGTGGTATTTCTTTTCCTGGTTTATGTTATTAGATTTTTCCGAGTAAAACCTCAGAGAGTTGTTTTTAATGTTGGTGAATCCAGGGATGAAAAAAAAAATGGTTTCTAGAGTAAGACATGCTGTAATATATGAAGCTTCCCACAGACCTATACCAAGACACCTCTGCTATTTTATTATTAAACTCAGATTTTCACTGATCATTTACCAAATAATACTAAGGCCTAAACAAAGTTAAAAGAAGACAAAGTAAATTAGAGCTGTAGAGAAACAGTTAAGTCTTCCACAGTGACAAGTAGCCAGGAAAAAGCCTAACATTCTTAAAATTCAAATTGACAAATTCCAAGAGACAGGATGAATGAACTAACGTTCCACTGAAATGTATCTTGATCAAGATACAGGATTTTTGTTTAAGAGCTGACATTTAACGTAGAAAGGGATCTAAAAGTAACAGATTGATTATCAAATTTGGCTGAAGGAAAATATGAAACTATATATGATAAGAAATCTCATGTGGAAAATCCAGAAGTATTATGGATGCAAAAAATGAGAATTTTTGGACCATTTTTGCTTTCAATGATCAAAATTTAATAAGGCCTTTCATGTGTATATATCTTTTAAGTTATTGTTTTATTATGTTTTCACAAAAACTCTATTTTTATATATGACTGGCGTTACTGACACACAAACATGTCAAGTTCATTCCTTTTCTAATCCCTGTCACTCCCTATCATGTTAAAAGTTATGTGTGTAAGATAGCCTTAGAGCAGGAGAACAAACAGGAAAGGTAGTAATGGGATGATGATATAGTTAAGAAAAAGTGCTAGACTGTAAAATAGAATGGAGTTGAGACTTAGTTCCAACTTGCTGGCTATGTGTCCCTGAGTAAATTATTTAATCTCCCTAAGCCTGTTTCCTTATCAGTAAAATGAAGATAATAATTCATACCTCATGGTGATATTGTGAGTTTTAAATGAGATTACACATATAAAGGGTTTTGCATAGAGCTGATGAATAATGACACTCAAGTTTTTTTGTTAAAAATACTATTGTAGCTATTATGAGTTATCAATTAGTTCTTTACATGTGCAGAAATAGTTTTGATTTCTCTGAAATCCTCCTTTAGACTTCATATGATATTAGCCTAACACGTTTTTCTCATTGGGGTTGAGAAATGAGACCACCCTGGCTCCAAGTGGGGTTATCATTCAAACATGTGGAGAACTCATGATCAATCATTGCCTGTTAAGCTTTGAAAAACTCTCAATCTAGGGGAAAGTTTGTACATTTCACTGGCACCCTCTCCACAGACCACCACTCCAATTTTTCTAAGAGGCTGTGAGCTGGGGAGTAAAAAGAGAGTTGGATGGAAAAAAAAAAAAACCTTGGCTGTTGATATTGGAAGCAGTGAGACTGAGGTAGACGTGTCTTTTCAAATTGTGGAAAATGAAGGTAGAGGGCATTTGAAGTCCACGTCCCCCCTGAGCTTTGAGGGTACTGCAGATGAGACACAGGTCACAGTGAAGCAATGACCAGAAGAATCACAATGGCGGCCGGGCGCAGTGGCTCATGCCTGTAATCCCAGCATTTGGGAGGCCGAGGCGGGCGGGTCACGAGGTCAGGAGATCGAGACCATCTCGGCTAACACGGTGAAATCCCGTCTCTACTAAAAATACAAAAACATTAGCCAGGCGTAGTGGCGGGCACCTGTAGTCCCAGCTACTCAGAAGGCCGAGGGGAGGTGGAGCTTGCAGTGAGCCAAGATCGCACTACTGCATTCCAGCCTGGGCGACAGTGCAAGACTCCGTCTCGGAAAAAGAAAAAAAGAAAAAAAGAATCACGATGGCTCCTGGGATTTCAGTGGCAGACAATATCTGATGAGGACCCTCAGTCTCAGAGATATTCAGTCAAACAATCAAACCTTACCTGAAGCTAGGAGAATGACATAAAATTCACTTGGGAAGATGATCTTTAACTCAATGAAGATACGCATCCAGAAACAGTAGCTTGGACTGTGTGGCAAAATGCCACTGCAACAAATGCCAGTGAAATTGGAAGCCAAACAGCTGTGCATCTCTCTGGATACGAGTACAGAACAGATTAAAACCAACAAGTGGAGTTTTCTCCCTTCCAAAAATACAGACGTTTTTCATAAGCTTTGAGGCATAGAATCAACTACAGAGATAAGGAGAGTAAGGGAAAACATTTCTACATTTGAGTTTGAAATAATTACAACATGTTTAAGTTTCCCTACAATGAATAGATTACAGATGCTGACACTGGATGGAAATGGGGAGCAAGACAGAAATTAACTTCAGGTGTGGAAAAATAATGTTACTTTTTTACACACTTGAATTTGTGGTCTGTGAAACTACTTTGTTCTACTTATGCAGCCTTCATTGACTTTACAGAGCAGGTTTTATTTCCACATAGAAGAGGAATAAACTATGTATCAAAGAGCTCATATAATTAGCCTAACACACATAGGCAGACACTGCAGCTGCTACCAGATGTACAATGAGTCTTACTTGTACGATAGACCAGTGTTCCTCAAACACTAAGGTGCATAAAGGGCTTATCAAAATTATCCTACACGTTACATATTCTGATTCCTTAGGTCTGTAGTGAAGCTTTAACATGGTACCCATACTATTTTGATACCAGCTAAGCTATTCAGCTTTTTAAACTGGCTTCAGTTTAAAAATAGGAAGCAAACAGAGACAGACAGACAGGTGAACATGCATGCAAACAAACACACACACCCAAAGAGAGAGAGACAGAGAGAAGGACTAAAGCATATGACCAAATATTAAAATGATTACATATTTAGGTCATAGCACTGTACTTACTCCTTAAGGTAAGAAAGACCCTGTTGCAATATTTAGGGACAATATAAATATCTAAATTTAAACTATTGGATTGTCCTCTACCTTAATCTATCATTTATTGGACCATAAACCAATTATAATGAAAGTAGTACAAACCTTATTAGAACAATTATAAACGCAAACATTACTAAAATATGCAAATCCACTGTAAGAGTAATTATTTTAGAAGTAAATCACAATAGTAAATATGTGTTACTAAATGGGCATAGAACAGCTATTTTAAAACATGTAAAACCTAACCTAGCAATATATTGGACAAAAGTCTGGTCACATAAAGAATGAGCTGTATCTAACAATGCCACAGGAATTAGCCATTGTGATATTGGCTAGGAGGTCAGTGATTAAAATATTTACCAATAAGAAACAAATTAACTATGGGAGGACCTTGACACTCCCTTACTGTAATTTTATCTCTAACCTGTATACCTCTGTAGAAACACCTTTCACCTCTATAGAAACAGAAGATTTTGTTAGGCATTATGAAGCCATAGAGACTTTGTCAGCACATTACCACAACGATATTATCCTCAAAGTTGCTCAACTTTGCAGGTGGGGTCAACAACTATCCAGTTTATTCAGGACTAGCCTAGTTTCAGCACTAAAAATTCCACATCCTAAGAAAGAAATCCTAATTCTCAGGCAAACGAGGATTGTTGTTCACTCTGTTTGCTGGAGAAAAGATAGCATGTCTGGTAGACATTCTACTTAGAAGAATATGAAGATGTTTGTGGTGGGAGCAACATTTTGAATACTAACCATGAATTGTGTCCTTTGTCTTCTTGAGCACAAGACTTTCAATGGGTCCACCCAAAGCCTTCATCTACTACGGCATGCAGATGAACAGTGCTATGGAGAATGACAAGAAATTTGGGATTTGACATAGAAAGGATTCTTGGTGAAGGAACAGTGTAATATTTGGCTTCAGATGTGTAACTCAGGGCTATGCACTGAGATGATAGTGTTTCCATCTAGGCTATATACTTGAGAGAGTATTTACTGGATTGTTTTAGTTCCCCCTTTACCTTGATGCACAAGCTGAAATACAGAGAATATAGAGTTCCTCCAGCATAAAAATAATATTTTACCTACCTCAGAAATCCAGATGACTTTTTTGATATACAGCTCATATGATATCAGGGAATTAAAAGAATTGTTCTTTTACCCCTGGGACACTGAGGAAAGAAGAAAAATGGAATGCAAGAAAGAGACAAGTAGAGTTGTACTGTCTCTAAGCACACCAGGGAAGAGGAGAGTGTTGCATTTCCTGATTAGAGTCCAAGGAGAAGACTCTCTCCCCAAATGCCTGTCACAGTTTCAGGCATTGACATATCAAGGTAACTGGTGGAACAGAAGACCCTAAGTGACTACATTCCCAAGCCATCCTTGGTTCCCATGTCATATGGAAAAGTTGAGAGTCAGTGGCCTGCAAAGGTATGCATTATGAGGAGAAAAGTGCTCCCCTTCCCCTGTCAAGTCTGTGAGAGGATCTCCAGGCCAGTGCAACAGATGGAGAATATGGCAGATGCCCATGGTCCTACGACCAGCAAAAACCAAAGTGAAGCAGTGCCACAGAGGGGATGATCAATAATAATAAATAATAATGATGGGTTCACCAGCTACGGACTTGAGCAACAGAGGCAATCACAGCCCTGATTATCCAGTTGCACATGAGTTTGCTTCAGCAGCCAGAGAAAACTAGGCCCAAAGAAAAAAGAAGAGTTTTCCTTTTCTAACTTAAGATCATCTATAACCTACACTCTTCCACCCATGTACTAGATCTCACCTGAAGGAGAGAAGCAGACGAAGAGGGAGTCTTTAGCATATGAGACACTAAAAAATTGTATCTAAGAAAGACTAACTTTTACCACAAGGGACGGTTTGAATTATTAGATCAATTAGACATACAGTTATTTTTTTCCTACTAACTAGAGAATGGGTTGTCACAATGAAGTGCAAGTCACTGAGTAAATTTTAAAAAAAAATAGGAAACTTTTTTATTTCCCATGATTGTTATTGTAACATGAATTCGTGCTATTTTTTTAGAGTCTACATACACCCACCCTTTTTTTTAAGTGTAGAACCAGTACCCTGGTATGGAAAAGGCTGCTATCTACCCATATTCTTTTTATCATTTTCCTGGGCAAGCAGCTGGATCATATCTACACGCCTACTTTGAAGCTCATGCCATTAAATCCTAGCTAAAGGAATATGAGTGAACTGAGAAATGCCACTTTATGTTTGGACAAATAAAATCTTCCACATATACGTCTTTCAGTTTCCCTTCCAGTGGCCAGATACAGAAAACTCCGAGGCAGCAAGCATCTAAGGTCCCTGAGTACTGATTCAGATTGCCCTCACCAGATTGTAGTTTGTGTCAGACAGAAATTTTTATTGTGTTAAGTCACTGGAAATTTGGGATTTGTTTTTACAGCAGTTAGCTTTACCTTAACTAAACACATACTACACAGAAGGGAAAGTTAGGGGTGGACAAAGAGGATTAGAACAGGACTGATGGGTTTAGAAAGGAGAAGAAGGAAGATCAAACAGAGAAGGAGATTCTCAAAGGTTCCTAGTGGTGGTCTTAGACCTGAACGGCACTTTATAATCTACTATTTTGCTTGAATATGACAGAAACATAACTCAAACTAGATTAAGCTAAAATGATATTATAATTCGTGGGCTCTTTAAATTAAAAATTTTACCCTCACAGAGCTGGAACCAGGAACTTTTGTTACTCTTAGGTCTCCCTCTCTCTCACTCTCTCTTTCACTGCTCTTTCTCACTGTCTCAACATTTTTTCTAAGTGTGCTTTATTTTTACCCACCAGATGGAGAAGGATAACTTTTCAAAGGAAAAGCTTCAGAGCATGCAAAAATAACAAATATCCACCACAATGACTTACTAAAAATACAGATAGATGGATATATACATAGAGAGAGAGAGACAGAGAGAGAGATAGACAGATAGAGATATATATATAGAGAGAGAAAGAGATAATGATTCACATCATCCTCTAGTCTCTTTGTGTCCGTTTTTCAAGAAACAGAAACACTTCCTTTGCTGAAGTGGGATGGACTAAAATATCATTTCAATTATTATGAGTATAACTAAGATGCTATATTTAGAAGACTGTATCATTGAACTGTGGAAGTATTGAATTGTGCCAGTTTATGGCTGTCCTCAAATAAAAACATATTAAAGAAGTCGGCCAAACATATTCTATCACAATAACATCCAAATGATGTTTATTTTTATTTATTTATTTATTTTGAGATGGAGCCTCGCTCTATCACCCAGGATAGAGTGCAGTGGTGCAGTCTCCGCTCACTGCAACCTCCGCCCCCGGGTTCAAGTGATTCTCCTGTCTAAGCCTCCTGAGTAGCTGGGATTACAAGCAAACGCCACCATACCTGGCTAATTTCTGTATTTTTAGTAGAGACGGGGTTTCACCATGGTGGTCAGGCTGGTCTTGAACTCCTGACCTCAGGTGATCCACCTACCTCAGCCTCCCAAATTGCTGGGATTACAGGCGTGAGCCACCATGCCCGGCCCAATGATCTGTTTATTAACTTCTGGATAACAAACCACACTCCAGAACTGAGTGGTATAGTGACTTAAAATAACTATTTTAATCACCTCTCATGATTTGGTGCAATGACTAGATAGCTGGCTGGATTTCTGTGCAATGTGATGTGGGCAAGGTCAGTAGTCAATGAGGGCATGACTTAGACAAGAATGTCTTACTTAATATGGCTATTGACTTGTTGCTCATCTGGGGTTGCTGACCAGTTCACTTATACGTGATCTTTCTATGTCACTTGGGCTTCTCATAGCATGGTGCCTGTGTTACAAAGGGAGTGTCCCAAAAGGAAATGATTCAAGATGGTTAAAGCAAAAGCTGAGAGTCTGCCTAAATGCTAGGCTAGAACTGTCAAAGTGTTGCTTCAATCACCTTCTGTTAGTTAAGCTGTCACAGGTTAAAACCAAATTCAAGGAGAAGGGAAATAAAGCCCAAATAAACTACCTCTTGATGAAAAGAATGACCCAAAAGCTGCAGCTATCTTTAATACACTACTCAAACTATCAGGAAAATGGTGTGGAAAATGTGCATGAGTCCATCATGAACAACCACGGCACTGGGATACCCTCTGTTTCAGTCAGATACTACCAGAGAAACAGGAGCAATAGGAAATATATATACATATATAGATGCATACACACACATATACATATGCATATACATACATACATAGAGAGATTTATTTTAATAAATTGGCTTATACAATTGTGTAAGTCCAGTCTGAAATCCATAGAGCCATCTAGTTTTTCTTTACAGAATATGATAATTTGTGGAGCAACTAACCAAGACTGCTTTAACATTCCTTTCTGCTTGACTAAATTTTAGATAGACCTCTTCCTGACTATAGGTCTCTGTCCTCCTGTTTGCTAAAGCATTTACTTCAAAACACTTGGAATTGTAAATTGTTTCTCTGCCCCTTTGAGATGCAAATCTTCCACAATCCAGAACCCTCTTTCTCAAGGACCTGGGACCATCTCTTTGAAATGTGATCATCAAGAAGACAGGACCCCTCTATCCCAGTCTCTGCTGAAGAGTAGGAACCTCACTTCCATAAATGCCAATTAGCAAACATAAGCGATCTAATTACATTAACCAAGCTCCCCACTAATGTCTTCTGGTACTTTTCAACTAGGTCACTCAACTGCTTAAAAGCTATCCTGCTTTTCAGTGAAGTTGAGTTCTATTTCTGTCCCCTATCTCAATAGTTTTGAACAAAGTCTTCCTTGCCCATTTAACCAGTCTAGTGTAATTTTCTTTTACAACAGGTATAAAGCTAATTGCTGATGAGGCTGATCCTTTTGTGGCTTGCTTTTAAGTTTTCTTAGAGTGGTTCTCTAGTAGTCTTTTTACTAGGGCTACTTTAGCCTTAGGCATCACAATTTTGTAGTGATCTTTATTGAATTCCCTTGTTTTGTGCCAGTGAGGTTACACCACTCTGATTAGTTAGAACTTGAAATTCTACCAATCTTCTACAAGCTATGGAAATTGTTTGACTTACAACACACTAGTATTATTTCCCTGAGCATGAGCAATGCCCCTATACATGTGTACAGGTCAACTCCTTAGCCAAAGATCCAACGGGACCTCAATATAGATTTTGAGCTCCTTATCTATGTAGCTCCCTTCTCTATAACACTTTGACCAGCAAAATTTAGCTGCCTTTGTCGTTTTCAACTCCTGTTACTGATCTTGTGACTCCATGAATCATGGTTCTGAGTCTCACTTCCCCACATTGTTGTCTGGAAACACTTCTCCAGGCAAAAAGCCAGGAGAATAGCAGAACTCACTTCATTTGTTTCCCTTTTTTCATGGACCACTATCTTCTGTTTGTTGTCTAGTAGGTGAAAATTGTTGCTTCAAATGTCAGTTTTAACCCTAGTTTTTGTTTTATTGTGGTGGTGGTCAAATACCGTCTTCTTTCCTTGATAAACGGAAGTGGAAGATTTAAAATATTATATAATTTGAAATGGCTGTTCTATGGTAGATAAAGGCTTTGTGCCCAAAAAGAAGTCATTAAAATTCCCAGTATCCTTATGTGTTTATGTAAAGTGTCATTTTGTTTCCATTTGAAAAACAGAAGTTTCCTAGATCAGTGCCTAAATACACAGCTGGTCAATTGCTTGCAATGACTTAATGTTAAATGCAATTTTATATAATTATTTTCATACATTTCTAACAAACACATGGTATGTTATTGGGGTTATATTTAGACCTGTAGTATATAAAAATCTTTTAAAGTATTTGTTTATAGAGAGATATATTTTAACTGTCCTTCAAATTCTAAAAAAATTAAATAAAACATAAGAATGCTATTTGCATGGCTATAAAGTTTTCACAGAGAGGCTATTAAAAACCTGCAAGTGCATCATCAGAAAGCTTTTTCCATACCAGTGCATTTATTTTTTCTCAAACTCAAAGTTTCCAGATTCTGTAGCTCAAAGAAAGATACCACATCATGTGCGCAAGTTAACACCTGAGAGCCAGCCAAAAAAAAAAAAAAAAAAAAAGTTATTGAATGATGAGGGTCATGGTTCAGTTCTTACTGGTGAAGATAATTGTGGTAGACAAAATAAAAAATCCCTAATAATTTGATTTTGAGCTAATCAAAAAAGAGATTATCACAGATGGGCAAGACCTAATCAGGTGAGCCCTTTATTTATGTTTGTTTGTTTATTTAATTTTTAAATTATAACTTAATTTAGGTTCAGGGGACATATGCAGATTTGTTATATAAGTAAACTGCGTGTTACAGGGGTTTGGTATACAGATTATTTCATCACCCAGGTATAAGCATAGAAACAAATAGGTAATTTTATACTTCCCCTTCTCCCACATTCCACTGTCACGTAGGCCCCAGTATCTGTTGTTCCCCTCTTTACGACCATGCATGTGTTCCCATTGTTTAGCTCCCACCTATAAGTGAGAACATGTGGTGTCTGGTTTTCTGTTCCTGCATTAGTTTGCTTAGGATAATGGCCTCCAGCTTTATCCATGTTGCTGCAGAGGAGATGATCTTTTTTTTTGGTTGTTTTTTTTTTTTAAATAACTGTAAGTATTCCCCAGTGTATATGTACCACATTTTCTTTATTCAGTCTACCCTTTAGGTTGATTCCACGTCTCTGCTATTATGAATTGTACTTCAATGAATATATGAATGCATGTGTCTTTATGGTAGGATGATTTATATTCCCTTGGGTATATACCCAATAATGGGATTGCGGGTTGAATGGTAGTTCTGTTTTAAGTTATTTCAGAAATCACCATACTGCCTTCCACAATGGCTGAACTAATTTATAGTCCTGTCTGCAGTGTATAAGCATTCCCTTTTTTTGCCAGCATCTGTTAATTTTTGACTTTTTAGTAACTGCCATTCTGACTGATGTGAGATGGTATCTCACTGTGGTTTTGATTTGCATTGCTGTAATGATTATTGAGGTTCGATAGTCTTTTCAAATGCTTCTTGGCTGCTTGTATGTCTTCTTTTAAAAAGTGTCTGTTCATGTACTTTGCCAACTTTTTAATGGGGTTGTTTTTTGCTTAGAAATTTAAGTTCCTTACGGATTCTGGACAGTAGACTTTTGTCAGATGTATAGTTTGCAAATATTTTCTCCCATTCTGTAGGTTGCATGTTTACTCTATTGATAGTTTCTTTTACTGTGCAGAGGCTCTTTACTTCAATTAGGTTCCACTTGTCAATTTTTGTTTTCATTGCAATTGCTTTTGGCATCTTCGTCATGAAATCTTTGCCATTTCCCATGTCCAAAGAGGTATTTCCTAGGTTATCTTCCAGGGTTTTGATAGTTTTAGGTTTTACCTTTAAGTCTTTAATCCATCTCGAATTTATTTTTGTACATGGTATAAGGAGGCATTCCAGTTTCAATATTCTGCATATGGCTAGCCAGTTATCCCAGCACCATTTATTGAATAGAGAGTCCCTTCCCCATTTTTGTCAACTTTGTCATAGATCAGATGGCTGTAGGTGTGCATCATTATTTCTGGGTTCTCTATTCTGTTCCAGTGATATACGTGTCTATTTTTATACCAGTATCTTGCTGTTTTGGTTACTGTAGCCTTGAAATATTGTTTGAAGTCAGGTAATGTGATGCTTTATTCTTCTTCCTTCTTTTTGTTTAGGATTGCCTTGGTTATTCAGACTCTTTTTTCATTTCATATGAATTTTAAAATAGCTTTTTCTTAAGTTTGTAAAAAATGTCATTGGTAATTTGAAAGGAATAGCATTGAATTTGTAAATTGCTTTGGGCAGTATGGCCAAGAATCAACAATATTGATTCTTCATATCCATGAGCATGAAATGTTTTCCGATTTGTATCATATCTGATTTCCTTGAGAAATGTTTTGTGATTCTCATTATACAGATGTTTCGCCTTCTTGGTTAGCTGTATCCTAGGTATTTTGTTCTTTTTGTGGCAATTATCAATAGGATTGCATTCCTGATTTGGCTCTCAGCATGGATGTTGTTGGTGTATAGGAATGCTACTGACTCTTGTACATTGATTTTGTATCCTTAAAATCTGCTGAAGTTGTTTATCAGATCAAGGAGCTTTCAGACAGACACTATCAGACTTTCTAGATATAGAATCATGTCATCTGCAAAAAGGGGTAATTTGATTTCTTTTCTCCCTATTTTGACGCTTTTTATTTCTTTCACTTGCCTGATTGCTTCAAGCAAGTATAGGACTTCCAGTACTATTAATGTATTGAATAGGAGTGGTGAGAGTGGGCATCCTTGTCTTGTTCTAGTTTACAAGGAAAATGCTTTCAGCTTTTGCACATTCAATATGATGTTGGCTGTGAGTTTGTCATAGATGGCTCTCATTATTTTGAAGTATGTTCCTTCAGTGCCTAGTTTAATGAGGATGTTTAACAAGAAGAGATGTTTAAAATGACTTCATTTCAATCAAATGAATTTTATCAAAAGCCTTTTCTGCATCTTTTAAGATAATCATGTGATTTTGTTCTCACTTCTCCTTATGTGATGAATCATGTGTATTGATTTACATATGTTAAACCAACCTTGCATCCCAGAGATAAAGCCCATTTGATCACAGTGGATAAGATTTTTGATGTGCTTATGGATCTGGTTTGCAAGTATTTTGTTCAGGACTTTTGCATCTATGTTCATCAAGGATATTGGTCTGAAGTTTTCTTTTTTTGTTGTGTCTCTGCCAGCTTTTGGTATCAAGATAATGTTTTATAGAATGAGTTGGGGAGGAGGATCTCCTCCTCAACTTTTTGGAATAGTTTCAGTAGGAATGATACCAGCTTTTTTTATACATCTGGTAGAATTCAGCTGTGAATCCATCTGGTTCTGGGCTTTTTTTGGTTGGTAAGCTATTTATTACTGATTCCATTTTGGAACTTGTAGTTGGTCTGTTCATGGATTGAATTTCGTCCTGGTTCAGTCTTGGGAGGTTGTATGTGTTCAGAAATGTATCAATTTCTTCTGGATTTTCCAGTCTGTGTGCAAACAGGTGTTCATAGTACTATAATTTTTTTTTTATTTGGAGTCAGTGGTAATGTCCCTTTTGTCATTTCTAATTGTTTATTTGGATCTTCTCTCTTTCTAGCTTGCAGTCTATCTATCTTATTAACATTTTTAAGTAAGAAACTCATGGATTCATTGATCTTTTTATGGTTTTTTTGTGTTTCAATTTCCTTCCATTCAGATCTGATTTTGCTTATTTCTTATCTTCTGCAGCTTTGGGTTTGGTTTGCTCTTGCTTCTCAGTTCCTCTAGCTGTGTTAGGGTGTTAATTTGAGACCTTTCTAACTTTTTGATGTGGGCATTAAAGCTATAACATTCTATCTTAACACTGCCTTAGTTGTGTTCTAGAGACTCTGGTATGTTGTATCTTTGTTCTCATTAGTGTCAAAGATGTTCTTACTTCTGCCTTAATTTCATTCTTTACCCAAAAGTCATTCAGGAGGAAGTTGTTTAATTTCCATGTAATTGTATAATTTTGAATGATTTTTTAGCATTGATTTCTATTTTTATTGCACTATGGTCCAAGAGCATGATTAGTATTTTTTTATGATTTTGCTGAGGATTATTTTATGTCCAATTGTGTGATCAATTTTAGAGTATGTACCATGTGGCAATGAGAAGAATGTATATTCTGTTGTTCTGTGGTGGTGAGTTCTGTAAAGTTCTATTAGGTCTATTTGGTCAAGTGCTTAGTTCAGTTCCTAAATATCATTGTGAATTTTTTGCATTGATGGTCTGTCTGATACTGTCTGTTGGGTGATGAAATCTCCCAGTTTCATTGTGTGAGAACTTAAGTCTCTTCATAAATCTCTAAGAACTTATTTTATAAAGCTGGGTGCTCCTGTGTGGATGAGTACATATTTGGGATTGTTGGCTCTTCTTGTTAAGTTGAACCCTTTACCATTATGTAATGCCCTTGTCTTTTTGATCTTTGTTGGTTTAAAATCTGCTGTGCCTGAAATTAGGAGAGCAACCCTTGCTTGTTTCTGTTTTTTATTTGTTTGGTAGATTTTTTTTCATTCCTTTACTTTGGGCCCATGGGTATCATGGCATGTGAGATGGTCTCTTGAAGGCAGCATACCACTGGGTCTTGATTCTTTATCAAGCTTGCCACTTTGAGCCTTTTAATTGGGACACTTAGTCCATTTATATTCAAGGTTAGTATTGATATGTGCAGATTTGATCCTGTCATTGTGTCATTAGCTGGTTATTAAGCAGACTTGTTTGTGTGGTTACTTAAAGTGTCACTGGTATGTGTACTTAAGTGTGCTTTTATAGTGCCTGATTATGGTCTTTTCTTTCCATATTTAGTGTTCCTTTCAGGACCTCTTGTAAGGCAGCTCTGGTGGTAACAAATTCCCTCAGCATTTGCTTCTCTGAAAAGGATCTTATTTCTCCTTTACTTATGAAGCTTAGTTTAGCTGGATATGTAATTCTTGATGGGAAATTCTTTTCTTTTAAGAATGCTGAAGGTAGACTCCCGATCTCTCCTGGCTTACAGAGTTTCTGCTGAAAGATCTGCTGTTAGCCCAATGAGTTTCTCTTTTAGGTGACCTGCCCTTTGTCTCATTTTGACCTTGGAGACTCTGATGCTTATGTGTCTTGGGGATGGTCTCATGTAGTATTTCATGGGGATTCTCTGCATTTCCAGAATTTGAATGTGGGCCTCTCTAGCAAGATTGGAGAAGTTTTCATGGAAGATATCCTGAGATATACTTTCCAAGTTGCTTGCTTTCTCCTTTTCTCTTTTAGGGATGCCAATAAATCAATATTTTCTCGCTTTTTATAATCCCATAATTCTCAGAGGTTTTGTTCATTCTTTTTTCTTTATTTTTGGCTGACTGAGTTAGTTCTGAGAGAGAGTCTTTGAACTCTGAGATTCTTCCTTCAGTGTTGTCTATTCTGCTATTAATACTTTTGATTGCATTATGAAATTCTTGTAATAGGTTTTTCAGCTCTATCAGATCATTTTAGTTCTTTCTTTTCCTGGCCATTTCATCTATCAGCTCCTCTACTATTTTATTGTAATCCTTAGATTCCTTGGAGTTGGTGTCAACTTTCTCCTGAATCTCAATTATCTTCATTCTTATCCATATTTTGAATTCTCTTTCTGTCATTTCAGCCATTTCAGCCCAGTTGAGAACTCTCGCTGGGATACAAGTGCAGTCATTTGGAGGAAAGAAGCCATTCTAGCTTTCTGAGTTGCCAGAGTTCTTGCACTCATTCTTTCTTATATGTATGGGCTGTTTGTTGTTCCTTTAACTGAAGTGTAATTTGTGAACAGTCAGTAGACTTTTCTAGATATTTTCAGAAAGCAGAGACCCTGTGCAGGGACTTTATTTATAGCTGAATTCTTGTCGTTGGTTTCCCAGGGTGGGTGTATTAGCAAAGTATTTGTGGTGCTGAAGATTTGGCCTGTGATCCAGTAGGTGGCACATAAGCAAAATGGCCAGTATGTAGCCTCCTGCTCAGCCACTTGACTCTTCTTTATTTCTTCAAGATTGTAGCCATGCCCTTTCTCAGTGTTCTATAAGTGTGGGCTCCTCTCCCACTTTATTACTGGCTGCAGATCTCAGCTTGGCACTCTCAGGCTGCACACTGTAGCTCTGGTGCAAGCTCAGGCTTTATGTTCCTTCCCTAGCTTGGGGGCAGCAAGGGAAGAGATTTTAGCAGTGGTTGTGGCAGAGGGCCTTTCACTTATCTCTTGGGGCTCCAATCCAGAGAGATGTGGAGCTGCTATCAATCACAGCAATCAGACTGGGATGGGGCAGCTGAACTGTGGGCCCAAGACAGGAGGGCCCTTCCTGGTAGTGAACAAAGAGGGAGGGTGGGTAACAGGAGAGACAGACTCATCTCTTCTCCTTAGGGCAACTGCAGCTTGCTGGAGGTGCAGTTAAAGCACTCATAGTATTTGCTTCTTTCCCAGTCTGAGGGCAGCAAGGGCAGTACCACTGCAGTAGCAGTGAGAGAGGGGTTTTTGGTGTTCTCTGGGAGCTCCATCTCAGAGAAACATGGAGCCACTGCTACTGGGAATGTTCAGCCAGGTGGTTGAGCAGCTGCACTGCTGGCCTGATCTGAAGGTTCTGCTTGATGAGGAGCAGCAGGGGTCAAGGGCTCACAGGGAGGAGAGACTGAGCTCCTGTCCGTATGGTGACTGTGGCATGCAGGGAGTGAGCCCTCAGGCTCTTTGTTTCTTCCCCAGACTGAGGGCATCAGAGGAAGGACCACTGCTGTGGTAGTGGCAAAGGGGCTATCAGTTGCCTCTGGGTGGCCCTCCCCAGGGAAACTCAGAGCCAATACCAGTGGATGTGCTCAGTAGTACATGGGGCAGTTCATGTGTGATCCTGAGCCAGGGGCCCTGCTTCATGAAGGGTCAGAGGTGAACTCTTAGGTGAGCTCTTTTAAAGAGGACAAGCCTTCCCTGATATTAGAGATTATCCTGTTTTCCTAGAAGAAATAATCAGCTATAAGAGAGGGCTACCCCTCTACAACTATGAAAGGCTTCTAGTATCTGAGAGTGGCCCATGGACAAAAACTAGCAATGAAATAACAACCTCAGTTTCTATCCACCCACAAGGAACTAAATTCTGCAATACCTCTGTGACTCTGCAGCTGGACCCTGAGCTCCAGAACAGAAAGCAGTCTGACCAAAACATTTAATTTCAGTCTTGCGATACTTTGAACAGAAAACCCAGTTATGCCTTGCCTGAACTTATAACCCATAGAATTTATGAGATAATAAATTTGTTATTTTAAATCAGTAAGTTTTGGGTACTTTGTAATGTAGCAATTGATAATTAGTAAAGCCACATTGGTTAGTAAAATGTTAAATACTTCTACCAGTTTGGAAATAGCTTCTGCCTAAGCTCCTGAATATCCCTCCACCATACCTGGTCATCAGACTATCATTGCTCTTAGACTTATGGATGCATCACCTAACGGGTTAACGCTTGAACCAGCAGGGACCTCCAGGAACTTGCTTCATCAGTATAGCAGTTTCCCTTCTGATTGGCCAGTGTTCAGGTAATACTAAATATTATACTATATTATATATCATTATCTATTGAGTTATATGTATCAATATGTGCAGATATTCCTTGATTTACCATGTGGTTACATTTAGATAAACTTATAATAAGTTGAAAATATTGTAAGTCACAAGCGCATTTAAAACACCTAACCTACCGAACACCCACAATTTAGCCTTATCCACCTTAAATGTGCTCAGAACATTTACACTGGCCTACTTTTGAGCAAAATTATCAAACCCAAAACCTACTAAAATTAGTTGTTGAATAGCTCATGTTATTTATTGAACACTGTACTGAAAGTGGAAAACAAAGAGGTTGTATGCGTACTTGAAGTATGGTTTCTACTGAATGTGTGTCTCTTTCACACCATCATAAACTTGAAATCTGTATATATATTTCTCTCTCTCTCCATATATATATATACACATATATATATGTACACACGTTTATATATATATAACACAAAATATATAGTAATCTCTTATTATGTTGGTGCAGAAGTAATTGTGCAGTTTTTGCCAAAAACTGCACAATTACTTCTGCACTAACTTAATGCATTATGTAATATATATTACTATGCTACATATGTTAAAGGTATATCAAAGGTATATCAAAGAGTTGTTGAAATTGTAGAGAATAAAGCAGGAAAAGTCCCTGCCCTCATGGGGCTTACTTATGAGCTAAAGAAGAGATAGAAGAAAAAAACATCAAGTTAACAAATATGATTTTAGACAGCGATCAATACTATAAAGGAAGTCAACAGGGCCTGCATGAGATAAACATCTGCTTCATGCCAACAGTTTGCCAACTTAGCTTCCTGCCCTATTTTGTCACAGCTTCCTTCTTGGCCTCTTTTCTCATTCTGTGCTGCTGCTGATTATAATGATGATACAATAAAAATAAACACAAGTATGCATCCAGCGTTTTCTCTGTGCCAGGCATGGAGATAGTTGCTTAACATACATTACCTCATGTAATTCATTCAACAACTCTGTGACTTGAGTACTTTTTAAAGTACTTGTTTGATATGTAATATATTAATATATATATAGCAAAATATATAACATAGTAAGGATAATATTCAAAATATTGAACAGCCAGTATGGCATGACTACTGGCCAAGCAAAATGATGGAGAGTCATTGGCAGGGAAAGGACCTCTCAGAAATGTGGGATTTGAGCTGAGATCTGAATGAAGCAGAGTCAGCCATGAGACAATCTCTAAAAGATAAGTTCAGAAAGGTAAACCAGGTCACTTTATTTAACACTACTCAGACAATTCTAAGGCATGTAATTTTGTTTTTAAGTGATAGGAGTGGGCTTTCAGTAGGCTTTCAGTAGGGCAATGACACAATTTAATTGACTTTTTAAAAACGCCATTCTGCTTCCTGCTGCATTTAACCTCCAGCATCTAATAGCCAGGCAATATTGCCAGGAGCTGTATTTAGGGAGTCCCTTTACAATACTTCTCTGGACCCACCCTACTAGCAGTGTCCCACGTGGCCTCTCAAGTGAACAAATTTTAGTTAACTGGCTCCTACCAGTGTAATTCCTGACACCCTATAGTTTACAAAAGTTTTAGGTCAAACCACGTAGCCGTAGTGTGTGTTACATTTTTAAGCATATTAATGAGGTAACTTCTTAGTTGATCCTCATTTCCCCACTTCTTAGAGAAGCTGGAGAATCTGTTTTAGTACAGCTGTAATAGAAAAATGTAGGCTGGATTGCTACATGGCTAGAAAAAGATTAACTGCTGCTATATTTCCATCATTCTTTCCCATGCCTGCTAATTTAATACAGTATTTTGATGATATTGTATTTTCGGCTAGGATCTAAGTCACACAAGCTTTTCTCACACAGGGTGGTCAACACATGACCTAAAAAGGGTTGTATTTAATGACAAGTTTTAGCTGGGTAGTGTGGACGACAGTTTGGGGCTATGTATGCTCCTCCTGATTCATTTTTGGCCTGGAGCAGTGCCTTTAAGGAGCTGTCCTGCCCTGGAAGTACATGCTGAGCTCTGCATGACAGAAACATCTGCTTTATGCCAGAGTTTGCCAACTTCGTTTCCTAAACTGCCTTGTCAGTGCTGCATTGCATTCCTCACAAGGTCTCTACTTCTTGGCTTCTATTCTTTCTATGATGATAGTAACGATGGTACTTATGATGATAATACGGTAACAATACCCAACACAGTATGCATCCAGTGTTTTCTCTATGCCAGACATGGTGATAGTTGCCTAATACATATTATCTCATATAATTCATTCTATAACTCTGTGACTTGAGTATAATATTTTTTTTTTTTTTTGAAACGGAGTCTTACTCTGTTGCCCAGGCTAGAGTGCAGTGGTGCAATCTCCGCTCACTGCAAGCTCTGCCTCCTGGGTTCACGCCATTCTCCTGCTTCAGCCTCCTGAGTAGCTGGGGCTACAGGCACCTGCCACCACGCCCAGCTAATTTTTTTGTATTTTTAGTAGAGACAGGGTTTCACCGTGTTAGCCAGGATGGCCTCGATCTCCTGATCTCGTGATCCGCCCGTCTCGGCCTCCCAAAGTGCCAGGATTACAGGCTTGAGTCACCGCGCCCGGCCCGACTTGAGTATAATTTTTAAGCCCATTTTACGGAAAAGAAAACTGAAGCCTGGAGGCTTGACGATCTTATAGCTTGTGAGACATGGACTCAGAATGTATACCCAGAATAGATTAAAGCCCAAAGAATTTCCATCCATTTTTCTTTTCTGAACTGCTGAGTGTTCTTGTTCCCCTAAGCTGTAACTGGTGACTTAACTCGATGTGTACATGGACTTGTTTGGGTAATAATGCTTCCAGCTTTGTCTTGCCTTGGAAAAACCCTTCTAGCGTGCTTCTCTTGAGTAACAAAGGCAGATCCATGGTTTTCTTACTCTGATTTACCCAAAATGCTTCCTACCAGGCTTTCTCACTTAAAGCCACTTACAGAGCTCATAGATCAAATGGAAACTAGGCTATAAAAATGTTGTAATGTATACAAACTGAATTGTTATTGAATTACTTTGCAGGGGCCAGAGAATTTTTTATAAGGCCAAGAAGTATATGTTTTTATTGATTAATATACACATCGTTAAAAAAGATTTAAGGCCATTAGAAATATAATATCAATTCAACCTGAGGTTCTTTAATACAGCCTTAAAATAGTTATAGAAAATTAATTGAAAATAAATTTATTTTATTAAGTAAAACTGTTTGGAATTACACTTAGTCAGAAATAAATTATATTTGTATTAGCCATGAAATATGTAATGGTTTTGTAAAAATCTATTTTTCTCTAATCACAATGTTGGAAGTGGTAAAAGAATATTTATCTTTTAGAATCTTCTAGATTTCATCAGTACTTGTATTTGAGTATGAAAGTCTTTTCTTTCCCACTTACGAACTGAGTTAAAATAATATTCACTTTCCACAAATGATTTGAACTTGCTTTTATGTTGCATACGCATTTAATCTGTTTTTCATACTCATTTAATCTGCTTTTTTATCTGTTTGTCATTGAATAGCATGACAAGGCAATTTATGATTCTTAAACAGCAGGTAGTATTTATTTTCTGGCTACCCTTCTAATGGATGCAGTCTTCAACACAGCAAGATAGAAATATTTTCAAAAGTGCAATATTTGGATATACCCTCTGGCTGACCACAGTACCCCAACTGAGTAATTATATTGATTCAAAGGGGAATAATTCTTTAAATAATATTGCAGCATCACAACACAGTAAACAGTCCAATAATTTTCAAGAATGACTTTTCTTGTTCTTAGTGCATATTAACTCTGCATCTTTATATAAGCAAATATATAGGTAAAAATAGACCTGGGCATTCTCATCCTCAGAAATTCCATGGTAAACAAACAGATGTGTTTTTTTCCAATGGTATTTCCAGATTTACAAGTCAATAAATTTAAAATATGTTAACTATTGAAAATAAAATATTTTTAAATAGTTTTTTCTCAATAATGTCAAAAATATATTTTGAATACATTTCTGATAAATGCATTCGAATTATTTTCCCCAAGTTATCTAAACTGAGTTTATTTTCTGACTGAATTTGTCTCATTGTTTTATCTTCTAAGGCAGGGAAATTGCTATCTTCAAAGAACATGGTAAATAAATTCAAAGGGCATAATCCTATTTCCTTTTGGATATCTAAGCAATTTTTTGAAGACTTGTTGAGTTGAAAACATACATAGTAATGGTAGCAATAATTCATTTTTTAAAAATAACATTTTGAAAATATTTGTTAAAGTGCAAGAGAAGAGACACAGGTGGTTGTTATAGGTATAAAACTTTTCTGATTCATATTGTACTAAACTTGTTATCAACTCATGGAATTTATATAAATCCAATGGAATGAAATTTGAGTTCATTCTAGTACCACAGAAAAAGTAACTTAGAATCTTCTAAATGCACATAAAAAAGGACATAAAAGTTAGGTAAAATTTTTTCCTGAATCTTGAATAATATTGATTCTGTAATATAGTGACTTGGATATGCTCACCTTTCTTATTTGTTGGTGTATATATGTAAAAAGACTGTGTTTACTTTTTTATTCAAGTACATTATAATGGATTTTTCCAATAAAACCTTTCAAATCTCCAAGAAAGTTTGATACTCATGAAAAATGGTAAGCATTCAATGAATGTTTGCCTTTCAAGATGATTTTGGTTAAAAACAAAGAGTCTGACTAAGCATACTTATGGCTAACATTAAAGAGATAATCGTGTTTATTTTCAGTTCTTTTGTGATCCATTTTCTCCCCCTGGAATCCTCATAACTAGAATGACAAGATGGTCTATATTGGTTTTTCTAGTTTTTATTCATTTTATTCTATTTATTTCTCTTGAGGTCTCAAATGCTATTATATATCATAGTTGTTTCCAATTATCTAATTACTTTTCATTTTTAAGAACTAAATGATAAGGGCATAGGCCCTGTGGACTACTGGAATTTTGCCAACTCTTAATTGTTGGAGTTAACAGCAAAGCCTTCTCCACAGACAGTGAAATACTGCTCAGGCATGATTGGAGTAGTTTCTGGGGATAGGAGATTATCTTATTGTGCCTCTTGCTGCCATAAATGCATTTTTATAAATAAAATCAGGTTAAAATGAATGTCATGGGGACACATAAAGGGAAACACAAATTGCTAAAAATGTAGCAGGCGGATTTGGAGAGCTGGATAGAAGGTTGCAGGGGCCTGCGAATAGCCAAGAAACTGAATGAAAATATGGACTGTGGACTAAAAACAGTATGGACTCGAGTTCTATCTCTACCACTTACTAACTGAGCAGGGCTCTGAATCTCTCTGAGCCTAATGAGTAAATAAAGATAACATTAGCAGGTATCTCATAATATGATAAATAATTTAATACTAAAATTAAAGAGATAATTATGTCTGTTTTCAGTTCTCTTGTGATCTGTTGTAGGCACCAGGAATATAGCATTAATAAAGTTTAATCTCTGACTTCATGGAATTTGCATGGGGGAAAGGGACAATAAATAAAGATGTAATTGGTCAGGGAACAAAGATAATATAAGGTAAAAGAATAGAGAGTGAAAGGGAAAGAAAGTAGGGAGGCTGTTGATATTTTAGAAAAGATTCTCAGTGAAGATCTCAGCAAAATAATTGAGTCTGAAGGTAATGAAATAGCAAGTTATGTAAATGTTCTGGAAAAAATCATTCTAGTCAGAGAATAGCATGTAGGAAGGATTGAGTCAAGAACACGTATGGTTTATACAAATAATAGCAAGGTCGCCAATGAGGATTCAGCAAAGGAAGACAGAGGGGAAAGAAGGTGATTTTCATTAGATAAGGGGCAGCGCGTGGGAAGGTAGCAGATTATACAGGGCCTTGAGTCAAGGTAAAGACTTTGATTGATATGTGAAGTCATTGGAGGATTTTGTGCAGAAACATGACAAAAGCTTGTTTATGTTTTATAGAATAGCCCTGGCTGATGAATTGAAAAGGCAGTAGGAGAGAAAGAATGGAAACAGAAAGAAGTCTAAGAAATAAGATCATTGTAACTCCAACTAATGTAGTAGCCCAGTGAACAGATTCAAGATGTCATTAAAACATAGACTTAAATGAATTTACTTATGTATTGACTGTTGGGTAGGAGAGAGAGAGAAGGTGTTTTGCCTCAGAAATAAATTACCATATACTGAAATAGTGAAAATTAGAAGAGGAGCACTGCTGATGGAGAAGAGAGGTTAAGGATGTAATACATTTGAAATGCTCATTGGTAGGTAGTTACATGTAGGAGACTGAAGTTCAGAAAAAGATGGAGATATAAATTTAGAATCCATCAATGTGCAGCCATTATCTTAAGTCAAGACACTGTGTGACTTCTTCTGGGCAGTTAGTGTGATAGATACAGGGTCTAAAAACTAAACTCTATGACATTCCAATATTTGAAGTCAGAGAAGATCAGTAGAAACCCACAAAGGGCACTGAGAAGAAATGGCTAGTAAAAAAAGGAGGCGCACTTAGATAATTCCAGAGAATCAAGGAAGAAAATATTCCAAGGAGTAATCAACAGTTTCAACTGCTATCAGTAGATGAGTAACAGCAAGTGACTATTGAATTTTGTAACATGGGAATGACTGTTGACCTGGATAAGAGAAATTTTGGTAAAATGGTGCAGACAAAAGCACTATTGAAATGAGGTCAAGAGAAAAGTTTCGTGAGACAAAAGACAGCAACTCCTAGCCAACTCTTTCAAGAAATTTTACTGATTAAAAAAAAGAAGGGAAAAAGAATAGTAGCTAGAGGAGGAAGTGTGATTAATAGGGTTTTTTTTGTTTTCTTTTAAAATAAGAGATTATTGTGTATCTTAAATGAGATTATATATATATATAATGCATATAGAAGGGAGACTTACAGGACAGTTACTTATGGTGGCCTTAGACTAATCCAGGAAAGATCCAAGGACAAATAAAAGATCTAAGAAAAGAGGGAACCCCCCGCTTTTCCTTCATGTGGCTCTCAGAATAATCATAGTATGTGTTGGGAATACAATATTCTGAGGTAGGGAGGAACCGCTTGCAACAGCCTCGGCCTTATTCCTATTCCTCCTAGGCAATGTAACAGCTTGAATTAAAGGGGAACTGTCTAAGACAGCTGAGGCTTGGTTTCTCACTCCCCTAGTAGCAGAATATCCTTCAAAGCTTTGCTCACTGGTCCTGTTGCTTTTGAGTTATATAATCTAGGATGGTCTGCCTTTTGGGGCCCCTCAGCTGTGATGCAAGTGGGGCACACAGAGTAATGATTCCATCTGCCCCAGGCAGCTTTCCTGAGCCTTAGTGAACTGGCTCACAAGGGATCCTAGCGTTCTCTTGTTCCTTGAAACTTACCTGCAGATAATAAATCCACTTCATATAACTTGTTGCATATGAGTGTGCTCTGTCTCCATGGACTTAGACAAGTTGATAACCAGTGCACAGTGAACCTGCTCCTCCAGACTGGCATATTACAGCTCAATAAACATTTTCTATTATGGCCATTGCACACTAAATAATACGATTTTCTATACTAGCAAGATAAAATGAGCTTTTCTCTCTTATTCCTTCTCAACCTCTGAAAAAGCTAAACAACTCTAGAATCACTGAAATCTTCATAAAACAGAGAAACCACCTTGACTTGAAGCTGACTGAAGTCAACTGATTTGAAAACAAGAAAATATAGATAATCCAAACTCACGATGTGTTAGATAATGTAAACTCTCTCTATATTTTACTGTATATTTCAAACTACCGCATTTGACATTATTAACCACATCCTCCTTCATGAAGCTCTTAGTTATCTTGATTTCTACGACAACTTACTGGTTTTTCAATCTCATTGAACACGTCTCTAAATTGCCTTTTTCCTCTCTGAGTATGGATTATTTTTCAAGATTCTGTCCCCATTCTTTGTCCCTTCTCTCTCCCTTAATAAACTCAACATCTAGAGGCACCTCATTCTCAACATGCTAAAATATGAATGCATTTTCTTAACCCTACATTAGCTCTTCCTATACTACTCACTGTTACAATGAGAAGTATTATCTTCTATCTTATGGATACAAAAAGATTCTGTAACTTTCAACATCTTTTTTTTTTTTCACTTACCCTCAAATCCAGTTACTTTTCTGGTCCTCGTTTACACCTTTGTGTCTATTTGTTTAAATGCCACCTGCTATGGTTTCGAAGTTTCCTCCAAAACTCATATTGAAACTTAATCTCTATTGTAAAGGTATTAAAAGGTGGGGTCTTTGAGAGGTAATTAGTATTAGATAAGGCCATCAAGGTGGGGTTCCCATGATAGTATTGGTGGTTTTAAAAGAAAAGAAAGACTTGAAATAGCATACCACCTCAGCAGCATGAAGCCCCTAATCAGATGCAGCCCATCAACTGCGGGCTTTCCAGCATCCAGAAGTATAAGAAATCAATACTTCGTTTATAAATTACCTTGTCTTAGGTATTCGGTTATAGCAAGAGAAAACAGACTAAGGCATCATCTAATATTTATGACTCACAAACTTATATCTCAAGCCTAATCATTTCCTCTTAAGTGCTATACTCATGACATCTCTTCTTGAATGCCTAGTTGTCACCTCAAACTTGACATATCCATATCTGCAACTCCAAAGAATTCCCCATCACAGTAAAAGACATCTCCATTCATACATTCCTCTAGTATTGAATTCTGTGGTCATTCTTAACTATTCTATTTCTCTAACACCTCATCTGCAATTCATCAGCATATCTTCCAATTCTACTATCAAAATGTATCCCCAATAGATATCAGTCCTGACAATTTTCTACCCCTTCACTGCTGCTACCATTATCTTTTTCCAATAATACTGAAATAGCCTTTGTGGGAGGCATTATTTTTGTTAACCAATATCTGGTTCTTCTCTATTTGTGGGTACAGAAATTCTTGCTCAGCCATGTGACTTGCCTGAGAAAGTAAAATATGTACAAATATAATCTGTTTCATTTCCAAATGAAGTCATTTAATTACCATTGCTGACTCTCTAGACCTTTCTTTCCCTTCTTCAGCAACTGTAGAAGCACCTGTTGGTGTGGTGGTGCCATGAAATTGAAAAAACCTACAATGCTGCATGTAGAAATACCTCCAGCCACAGCACACTTTGCACTGTTGTTACGTAGCCTGACTGATACAACCTCCAAACGGATTTCCTTGATATTGCTCTTATTTCCACATACCTATAGACTAGTTTCAACCAAGCAGCTAATTTCTCTCTTAGCACATAAAACATTGTATCAGTCCTCTTCTTCAAGCCTTCTGCTGGCTTCCCATCACACCATGAATATAATCTACAGACAATACCAATACTTCCAAGGCCCTGCATACATGATTTGATCTCTATTGTACTGTTTGATGAATCTTACTACCATTTCCCCTCACTCATGCATTACTCCAGCTACACTGAACTTTCTAAATTCTTTAACTATGACTATTATGCTCCTGCTGCAGCAAAAATTAAAATAACATCTCTTTTGTCATCTACTCTCTGGTCAGGGCTTCCCAGTGACATAGCTTAACCAAAAATCAGCTGGGAAATATCATTTGCAGCTTTCTAGTTCTAGTAATACAGAGAAGAGTATACATGAGCAAGTACGGGCTAAGAGTCATAAACAACTAGCCAGTGCTCTTGGCATAATATAAATTGCATAATAAATATTTATTGAGAAAACAAAATGAATATGTCCTCCTCAAAGTTTTTCCTATTAATCAGCACTGGCTTATAAGATTATGAATAATACAGAGAAACACAGCTTATGACAATGGAAGTGGTAATTAGAGAGTTGTTTAAGTAGGTACAGTAATCCTCAAAACTCAAATGTTAAGCAAGCCAATACAACGAGACTCTTTTCTTATAGGTGAAAGTTGCATTAAAACATGTCACTGAATAATACTCTTATTCAAACTCCCCTCCTGAAAAGATGGATTATAGTGCTAGCCTAAGGCTGCAATCTGTTGAAAGACAAAATTAGAATAAATTTTGTTAAAGATCTAGTTGGCTTTTATTCATGATTCATGGATTGGGCAGCCTTTATTCTATCAAATAGATGAAAGCTCCCACTGGGCAATTGACAGAACAGTGGGATTTGTAAGGTAAAAACAACAACACAGGATAATAGAAAAAAAATGCTATTGTGCACATTAGGTTATTTCAGGTTTCTTTTCTTGTAAGGGTAAAAGCACAGGGGACTTCCTTGTTACACTGACTTGGGTGGCCTGATCTCTCTTGGATTGGGTGCTGTGAATATACTGTTTTCAGGAAAAACTGGTATGTTTGGGGATCCCACTGCTTTCTTAAAATTTCAGTATAATTATGTGACACTTAGCATAAGTGATGCCATTTTGCTTTGGTCTGGTCTATTAGGACCCATTGCAAAAGATCAGCTCAAAACAATAGTCTCTCATAATTCTTGCTTAACAGATCCTAGTATCCAAATATGGCAATGATGCTAGGACTAACATGAAGGTCACAGAGCATGAACTAAGGGAGATCTGAATGATGATAACCAGAGATAAAGCAGTAGTTTCATGAGACTAGGCAGTGAACGTAATGAATAGTGAATATAATGAAAATAAGGAATGGACAAAAACTAGAGTTACAAAGAAATAGAGAAAAGGCTTAGAATAAAGGATACAAGGCTGAACCTTACAAAAATGCTTGTAGTTCTGGAGCATAGCTCTTGGTAGCTTTCTGAACAGAAGCATGTCTTTATTCTCTTAAAGGGGAAAAGCTTCTGACACACTGTGAGATTATAAAAGAACAGATACTCTGTTCAATTCTAGGCACTGTGTTAAGCACTTTACCTGAATGCATTAACTAATTTGTAGTTTATATTTGGCTCTGTTTGTTTTTGTTTGTTTGTTTGTTCTGAGAGTGTTTTGCTCTGTTGCCCAGGCTGGAGTGCAGTGGCACAATCACGGGACCTCCTGGATTCAAGCAATACTCTCATCTCAGCCTCCTGAATAGCTGGGACCATAGGTGAGTGCCACCATGCCTGGCTAATTTTTATTTTTATTTTTATTTTATTTTTAATTTTTTTTTGATGTCTCCGTTTGTTGCCCAGGTTGGTCTCAAACTCCTAGGCTCAAGCACTCCTCCCACCTCAGTTTCCCAAAGTGCTGGCATTAGAGGTGTGAGCCACTGTGCCCAGCCTAATTTGTAGTTTAGAAAACCCCCAAAGTAATCTACAGTCTCAATTTCATATCTGAGAATGAGACCCTTAGAAGTTAAGTCATTTTCCTCAAGTCATACAACCAAGTAGGGGAAACAGACAAAAATCAAATAATGGCTTGTTTTCACAGCGATGGTGTTTCCCAGTAGCCAGATCTCTTGGTGAAAGTTTCTGGCATCAAATATATTAAATATATAGGACACATACACACACACAGAGGAAAAAACATTTTATCAATAATGCAAAATATAACTGTCTTAAAAACATATATAGTGAACTGATTTATCTTGCTAATCAAGTTTCTCATATTAAAATTAGTATTAAAATGCATTTTTTTTTGCCCAGCAGCACAAGCCCTGTAAGAATGTGAGAGCGCTCAAGGATGTTGGCTACTGGGAATAAACATTTGTGACTACAACCCACAAAACAATCTGCACATGGCTAATCAAGAGAAGACTGCATTTTCCTATTTTTGTTTATATCATACCAGTAGAACATTGTACATTAAATCTATAATGATGATAAACTGCCCATTGGGATTTTCTTCATTCTTGTAATCACCCTTAGGACTCAAAAAAATCCCGTGAGTTTGCACTTTTCAAATTCTGTTGTGGGAAATGCTGCAATTAGGTGCTATTGAACCAATCTTTGAAAATTAAAAATGCTGTAGAAAAATACATCAGTTTACATTCTACTTTTTCACTCCCTTTCCCAGTGTGTAATAGATTAAAAACAATGGGTTATCTCTGTGAAGAACTTGGAATGTAGCATTAAAATCATTTAAATGTGCTATATCCTAGCACATTTCTCTGGCAAAGGCCAGGAAGAAGCATTACAATCAAAACAACAAATTTTATACATAATTTAAAGATATAAATGAGAAAAGTAACTTAAGGAAATAAGATTTTTTTTTTTTTTAGATTTTGAAAGGAAGTAGCATTTTACCTAAAAACCATTTTGCTATTAAAGGCTAATATACGTAGCAAAGTTATGCAATCATTTATGCTTGATTTTTCATCTACCCTGGTTGACACCCATATTCTTTACTGGAACCATTATTCTTTATCCTTCCTTTACAGCAATGTTAACAGCTCTAAGGCACTTTCTAACCTCCCATTCAAACCACTACCACTTGAATCTACCAAACATGGAAGTTGCTCTCCCAGAATTTTTAGATGCTACATAGTTAAAAAGTACAGACCTAATTCAATTTTTGATGTATATGATACTATTATTTGATACTAATTTCTGATACTAATATTTACCAATACCTTCTCTTTGAAATTTTCCTTCTTTGCGTTGTGTATCAACATTCTTCTCTGGTTTCTTCCTACCTCCCTGACCACTCCTTTACAAAATCTTCTGAGGGTTTCCCCTCTGTTTTTGTTAATACTGTAAGTGTTAGCGTTCAACAAGATCAATTTCTCTACTGTCTTCTATAAGTCACTAATTGTGATCACATCTCCTCTTAAGTACTATTTTAAAAATTATACTAGATCTTTTAATCATACTGCACACTGTATAGTTCCAGTCGAGCCTCTATATCAATAAAACTAGATGCAAATCTATCATATTGACAAACAATCTGTTCTTTATCCTGTATTCTTTATTTTGTCTAATGTCACAGCTATTCATATAGTTTTCCTAGTCCAGAATCTGGGAGATGTCTTTAGCTACTCTTTCACTTGCAACACCCAACACACCTGAAGGAAAATGAATCAATATTAATACTATAATTTTAACAAATACGTGCAAAATATTTCAATTTCCTCTCCTTTTTCTACCTGTTTTCTTCCATTACAAATGTTTTATTTTATCTTACATTTATTTATTTGTTGTTTTATTTCATTTTTTTATTTCCATAGGTTTTTGGGGAACAGGTGGTGTTTAGTTACATGAATAAGTTCTTAGTGGTGATTTGTGAGATTTTGGGGCACCCATCACCGAAACAGTATACGCTGTACAAAATTTGTAGTCTTCTATCCCTCATTCCTCTCCCATCCTTTCCCCCAAGTCCCCAAAATCCATTGGATCATTCTTATGCCTTTGCATCCTCATAGCTTAGCTCTCACTTATAAGTGAGAACATAAGATGTTTGGTTTTCCATTCCTGAGTTATTTCACTTACAATAATAGTCCCCAGTTCCATCAAGGTTGTTGCAAATGCCATTAACTCATTCCTTGTTATGGCTGAATACTATTCATATATATATATACCAAAATTTCTTAATCCGCTTACTGATTGATGGGCATTTGGGCTGGCTCCATATTTTGCAATTGCGAATTGTGCTACTATAAACATGCATGTGCAAGTATCTTTTTCATATAATGACTTCTTTTCCTCTGGGTAGATCCCCAGTAGTGGAATTGCTAGATCAAATGGTAGTTCTACTTTTAGTTCTTTAAGGAATCTCCACACTGAATGGAAAAAAGTTGAAAGCATTTCCTCTGAGAACTGGAACAAGACAAGGATGCCCACTCTCACAACTTCTATTCAACATAGTACTGGAAGTCCTAGCCAGAGCAATCAGACAAGAGAAAGAAATAAAGGGCATCCAAATTGGTAAAGAGGAAGTCAAATAGGCGCCGTTTGCTGATGATATGATCATACACATAGAAAACCCTAAAGACTCCTCCAAAAAACTACTAGAACTGATAAATGAATTCAGCAAAGTTTCGGGATACAAAATTAATGTACACATCAGTAGCTCTGCTATACAGCAACAGAGACCAAACTGAAAATCAAATCAACAACTCAACCCATTTTATAATAGCTGTGAAAAAATAAAATACTTAGGAATATACCTAACCAAGGAGGTGAAATACTTCTACAAGGAAAACTACAAAACAATACTGAAAGAAATCATAGATGACACAAACAAATGGAAACATATCCCATGCTCATGGATGGGTAGAATCAATATTGTGAAAATGACCATACAGCCAAAACCAATCTACAAATTCAATGCAATTCACATCAAAATACCACTTTCATTCTTCACAGAACTAGAAAAGATAATCCTAAAATTCACATGGAACCAAAAAAGAGCCTGCACAGCCAAAGCAAAACTAAGCAAAAAGAACAAATCTGGAGGCATCACATTGCCTGACTTCAAACTATACTATACAATCAAATATGTTTTCAGTCATTGGCAGATGTTTCATGGAGGTAGGGGGGAAATTGCCCCTGGTTGAGAACCACTGCTCTAGATATTCAGGGCTCCCAGTTCTCACCTTCAAAAATTAAGATACTCTATTGTGTCTTTACTACTATGTACACTTTCCAAAAGCATAGAGAAGGAAAAAGCTTTGAAATTTATTTTACAAAACCAGACTGACAAGGGTAACTATAATCTAAAAATGATTATCGCAAGAATCTTAAAAATAATAACAATGGGATTTAACAATGTATTAAACAAAAATACAACATGACCATGTGGGATTAATCTCATAATTGCAAAACTCCCCAAACAAATATCAAAAAATCAAATTGACAATTCACTGTATTTGTTGGTCAAAAATGAAAAGGTGCAGGTATAGAATAGTCATTCATTTATTTATATTCCTGCAGGAACAGACAACCTTGTCTTAGATTAACATTTGCTTCATTCCCAACCAAGAACAACTGTGAATTTATTCTGAAATTTAACAGAAAACATTACAGAACTGAATTTAAGAACTTTATGAATGTTTAGCTGCTTATTAAACCTGGTAGCAGAAATAAAATTATGAAATGAAAAAGAGATCTGGAAAAAACACCTATAGATAAGCAAAAACAACAAAATTATAGAAAACATGGAAAATGATTGCAGAAATATGTAAGTTTAGGGGAAAAGATTTTAAAATGTGTAATAGGGGCTCCAAAAGGACAGGAAAGAGAAAAATGAGGAAGAATCAATATTTGACAAAATACTGGGGAATGGACAAAAACTAGGGTTGCAAAGAAATAGAGAAAAGGCTTAGAATAAAGGATATGAGGCTGAACCTTACAAAAATGTCCAATAACCCACTGAAGAGGCATTTCTAAGGAAACAAAGGAAAAACCAACATTAGTGTTTGGACCAGTCTACACACTAGTTCCTGAGTCCAGAGGGTAGCCAGTTGAAAGGATTTCTAGATTCTGGGCTCAAAATATCTTCAATCTGAGTAGGGGCAGGTAGTGTCAATCTGACAGGTTTTAAGACGTTATTTCTCTGGAGTTTATTTATCAGGTTGACAAGCTTTAGCTTGCATGGCATCATGATAATGTCAGTTTTAGCTTCGGTGATTAGAAATTAACAAAATGGGAGAAAAATTGAAAATGTTAGTTTGGAGAGTTGCTGCCAGGTATTGGAGGAAACTGAAAAAATTAAGAATCCAGTCCAGATTGAAGGTAAATAATAAAATCTCAAAAGCAGGGTACTAGAATCTCATAACAAGCACACTGTACTTTTTCTTTCTGAAACATAATTTTCTTTCTACATAATCCCCCATTTTTACCAAAAATTATCACGGAGAAACTAACTTATTTGTAAAAATAGTTCTACTCTCTTTAAATTTGGCCTGATTATTTACATAAGTGCAGCAAGAATAGTGATTGGTCACATAAGGTTTTAAGTCTGCTTGACTGAAACTTTCAAGAAGGAATCTCAGCTATGACTCTTAAAAGCCTCTCCAGGCTAGGAAGGCAAGGCAATGATTCACCATCAAATTTCAGCTGTAGTGAATTCCTTCATCTGAGTGAATACTTCCCATCTTGTAGTCCCCCTAATATGAGGTTCTTGAGACTCTCTGGAAGTGACAATCTTTTACTTACTACAAGGCTAGGAAACTTGTAAGAGAGCCATGTATTGAAGGTACCAGGCCAATTTTTAAAGGGTGCTTTATTGGCTATATAAAGTCAACCTCAGTTTTTTAAAACTGTTTGATCACAATAAAGATTTTAAACACTTGATCAAAACAGGTTCAGAAGTCACTGTAAAACAGTAATCATTTATTTAACCAAAGTGATAATTAAAAGATTTGAAAAGCAAATGAAGAAAGTTACACAGTTGTAGGAAAAAAACTTTAACTTTTTAATAAAGACAACTGTTTTCCTAAGTAATCAAAGACCTAATAAAGAAAACATGAAGCACAAGGAATCATCTTGATGAAATAACAAATGTCTTTTTGATTAATCAAAATCAAAAACTCAACAAAAGTATTTTGCTATATCATGAATGCTACAAAGAAATCTTGTTTAAAAGAGAAGACCAATTTCTAGTTTTGCATCAGTGTACTTCTGTATTAAGGCCCATTTTCAGAAAAGCTTATAATTTTTTTCTAATCTTAGCAAGCTTGATCACACATAAAATTCCTTTTATAAGATGTATCTTCTATAAACTCTCTACAACTTCCATATTCATTCAGTGTTATGTATATCATTTGTTACTTTATTCATTCTGAACCTCCAAACTAGACAAAATTACTTTCTCAACAAAAACACATTTGTATACCTTATCACTTTTTAGTTTACTCTCCTTGTATACATTGCATACAATATTGTTTCTCTTCTATTTAGTACTTCTAATTACATATTAGATTTTTAAGTGTTAGTAACCCTAATTTCCAATGAAAACCTATGAAGTAAGCAATTTTGAGCTGTCATGTACCAACATTTTATGAATATAAATTTCATGATTTCTAGAAACATGGGCTATTTGTAGAACAGTTTTTCATGTTTAACACATCCAATTATTTTTGTTTTTCTATAAAACTTAATAAGCCAAAAGTAAATAAACTTATATTTAGCAACTGATGGTTTAGTATTTTATTTGGAAATGATTTAGATATTTATTGAACCAAACAAAGAAGACTAGAGTTGAATACTAGTTGATTCAACTAGTTGATTCAGTTGATTTCTGATTTACCACTGCACTTAATATGTATGAAGTGGTGGATGTTGTGCTGTATTCTTATTCACACTTTTGTTCTTAGATTAAACTCATACCTTTTTTATCTTAAACACCTAATAGAGGTAAATATCGTGTTTCTGCATTATATTTAATGCTGACAGATATGCCTGTTTTAAGTAAACCAACACTATTATTATTTGCCAAAGATTTACCCAAGTCACATGGGCTTGCAAAGCATTTGTTAGTTCCTATATTTTTAGCAGTTTCAGGAGTATTTAATTTATGAGTGCTCATTTATCTTTAAAACAATTTTAATAGAATTTTTGTTCCTATTAAAATAACATGTTAGAAACAACAAAAGAATACTAGGCACATATTTCTTTTTTTAACTTTTTATTTTAACTTTGTTTTGACTTTTATTTTAGATTCAGGGGAACATGTGCAGCTTTGTTATATGGGTAAATTTTTGTCACAGGGTTTTGTTGTACAGATTATTTCATCACACAAGTACTAAGCCTAGTATCCAACAGTTTTTTTTTTTTTTTTTTTTTTTGCTTCTCCCCCTCTTCCCACCCTCCAATAATAGGATTTTGTGAAGAGATTCCAAACCATGTTGTAATTACTTAATTGTTTGTCCTGCCTGATGGACAGGCAAAACAAAATCAGTCAGTCCATGGCCCTGCAGTAAAGAAAGAGTTTAATTGATGTGAAGCTAGCCAAGCCACGTAGATGAAGTTATGACTCAAATCAATCTCCCTGTGGAGGTTAGAGATTTTCAAGGACAGTTTGGTGGAAGGGGGACTAGGGAATTAGTGATGCTGATTGGTTGAGAATGCCATCATTATTGAAATATGAAAAATGGTCCTTGTGTACTGTAGTAGTTCATTTTCATGCTGCTGATAAAGACATACCAAAGACTAGGCAATTTACAAAACAAAGAGCTTTAATGGGCTTACAGTTCCACATGACTGGGGAAGCTTCACAATCGTGGTGGAAGGCAAAAGGAAAAGTCATGTCTTACATGAATGGCAGTGGGCAAAGAGAGAGAGAGAGCTTGTGCAAGGAAACTCCTATTTTTAAAAACATCAGTTTTGTGAGATTCATTCACTAGCACAAGAACAGCAGAAAAGCATGGGAAAGTCCCACCTCCATGATTCAACTATCTCCCACCAGGTCCCTCCCACAACATGTGGAATTATGGAAGCTATAAGAAGAGTTTTAGATGGGGACATAGAGCCAAACCATATCATTCCTCCCCTCACCCCTCCCAAATCTCATGTCCTCACGTTTCAAAACCAAGACTGCCTTCCCAACAGTCCCCCAAAGTCTTAACTCATTTCAGCATTAACTCAAAAGTCCACAGTCTAAAGTCTCAGCTAAGACAAGACAAGTCTCTTCCACCTATGAGCCTGTAAAATCAAAAGCAAGTTAGTTACTTCCTGGATACAATGGGGGTGTAGGCATTTGATAAATACAGACATTCTGAATAGGAGAAATTGGCCAAAACAGAGGGGCTATATTCATCATGCAAGTCCAAAATCCAGTGAGACAGTCAAATCCTAAAGCTCTAAAATTATCTCCTTTAACTCCATGTCTGACATCCAGATCACACTAGTGTGAGAGGTGGGCTCCCACTGCCTTGGGCAGCTCTGCCCCTGTGGCTTTGTAGGGTATAACCTCCCTCCTGACTGCTTTTATGGGCTGGCATTGAGTGTCTGCGGCTTTTCCAGACACACAGTGCAAGCTGTCAGTGTATCAACCATTCTGGGGTCTGGAGGAGAGTGGCCCTCTTCTCATAGCTCCACTAGGTGATGCCCCAGGAGGGACTCTGTGTAGGAACTCTGACCCCACATTTCCCTTCTGCATTGCCCTAGCAGAGGTTATCCATGAGGGACCCCCCTGAAGCAAACTTCTGCCTGGGCATCCAGGAATTTCCATACATCCTCTGAAACCTAGGCAGAGGTCCCCAGATCTCAGTTCCTGACTTTTGTACACCCACAGGCTCAACACTGCATGAAAGATGCCAATGCTTGGGACTTCTACCTTCTGAAGCAACAGCCCAAGCTGTACCTTGGCCCCTTTTAGTCATGGCTGGAACAGCTGGAATGCAGGGCACCAAGTGCCTAGACTGCACACAGCAGAGGGACCCTGGGCCTGGCCCACACAACCATTTTTTCTTCCTAAACCTCTGGGCCTGTGATGGGAGGGGTTGTTGCACAGGTCTCTAACATGCCCTGGAGACATTTTCCCCATTGTCTTGTTGATTAACATTTAGCTCCTCATTACTTATGCAAAATTCTGCAGCAGGCTTGACTTTCTCTTCTGGAAGAATGTCTGCTTATTATTTACCTATGTCTGCATCTTAACAAAATAAAGGCCCCTCTCATAATCTTAACCTTGTGTACTTTCATTACTTTTACAAAGACCTTTTAGTTTTGGGAGTAGCTATTATCGGCCTTGCTTTAAAGTGAAACTATAAACTAAATTTCTTCCAAAGTTGGCTTGGCCTATCCCCAGGCATGGCAAGGACAGCTTAGAGGTTAGAAGCAAGATAGAGTTAACTATGTCATATTTCTCTTGCCATCATAATTCTGTAAAGATGGGTTCATTGTTGACACAACAAAATATGTACACATGTGTACATAAAAATACAGACAGACATAAACAAAGGTCTTATAGGTTTCATTTAACAAATTTTAGCTATGAGACAGGTAAAATAACATACAACTCAATAGTTTATAAAGAACAGTTGCATCTAAATTGTGCTTTTGCAAGTTAAGTGAACCTGCTCACATGGCTAAAGCCCTTTACTAATAGTAAAAAAGCCTTCAATATTTTTTATTTGGTCAATTTTTAAATGACTTAATTTTTCTGGTGAGTCATTACCCTGAAATTTATTTCCAAAAGATAGCTACTAAGTTCTAGAGAAGATGCGATAGGAAATCAACATATCAAAGGCGAAGAGAAAATAATGCAAGTTTTTCCAAGAAGAAGTTTAGGTTGTGTCAGTAAGGTCAGACATAGAGGAGGATTTAAAATGGATGCCCAGGTAACATAAAATTATAGAATTTCATTGCAGAATTTTACAAAGAAATACACAGATGGACCTAGAGAAGGTTCAGAAGTCTAACTACATTTGGTTATGGATATGTGAATCCAGCTGGGCATGGGAGGTGGGCTTGAGCTTAGGAGTTTGAGATCAGCATGGGCAATGTGGCAAAACATCATCTCTACAAAAAACAACAAAAGTTAGCCAGGCATAGTGATATGTGCCTGTAGTCTCAGCTACTCTGGAGGCTGAGGTGGGAGGATTGCTTGAGCCCAAGAGGTCGAGGCTGCAGTGAGACATGTTCACAACACTGGACTCCAGCCTGGATGACAGAGCAAGACCTTGTCTAAAAAAAAAAAAAAAAAAAAAAATACTTCTTACTCCCCTCAGGTATCCTCTTAGTAATTTTCATTCATTGCCCACCAAATGAAGAAAGCAGGGGCTTGAAGGGGAACATATCAAGGATTCAAGGGAACCAGATGGAAGATTGAAGGTGGCAAAAGGAAGGAGGAGCAGAAGGAAATGAAAGAACAAGTCTTATAGAGGAGCCAGTTTGGAAAGATCTTGAGTCTCCAAAAGAGGCCAATGAAGTTTTATATTATCCTCAGCAAAAATCATTGCAGCAAATAAAGTATAAATAGAGAGCAGAGTATATAGTTAGCATGGCTTGGAGAAAAGAGAAATTCAGTTGACTGAGATGTTCACATTGGAAAAGCAGGATCCTATAGAGAGAATCAGAGTTCCAAACAAAACAAAACAAACAAACAAACAAAAAAATATAGCCTGAATATCAGTTTTGAATTAAGCTGACTTCTGACCACAGAGCTCTTTTTAAAATTATATTTCCTTCATTATCTCAAGTGCAGGATAATTTAAGATCCAATATTCTGACATTTTACAGTATCTGCAGGCATCCTGAGATGGATAGCTGAGGTTTTGGGGTTGATAAAAATAAGTAGGCTTCAAATTGCCTCTAAACGTATATTCCTGTTTTTGTAAAAGTCTCAATTTGTAAAACCCTAACAGTTGCTTTTAACTCTTCAAAGAATTGGGATGCAGATTGAATGATACCAAGAGACTGACCGATCTGTCTAATTGCTTTATCTTTATGCTGTTTTTTTTTTAAACTAGGAGAAGATTTCCCACTAAAATGTAAATCAAAAGATTTATCTGTTTTAGATTTAGAGCTGTTCATCTTTGAAATATTTTAATAAACTTGATTCTTACATTCTGAGTATAGGGTTCCATTTTAGCTTAGGAGAGAAGACAAAAAAAATCCTATCACACTCTGAATATAAACCAAAGTACTAAACCAAAGGTATATCTACAAGTGACTCAAGACCAAAACTAATATGCAAGGCAAAATTATTAAGTCTTTTCATGGCTTTAGCCAAGGTTTCCTAAGAGAAAGCAAAAAGATTCAGCCCTTTCAAGATCCCAAAAATAGGCAAAAAGAAAGAAAAGCTTCAACAGTTAGTGTACTTAGCCGTAAATGAGGCACCACTCACATTTCTGTTCAGCCATATTCTTAGAGCTCTCAACCTTTTCGTTGGTAGCCTATACACAAAGTTCCCATAACCTGTATCCCCAAAATAGAGAGAGTTTTTAAAAAGACATCAGTTGCTAAGATAAACAGGGAAACAAAAGCTGTTCATAGGAGAAAAAAGGATCACTAACAAATGGGTACCCCAAAAATCAAGAGTCAGACCAATTCAAAACAATTAATTTAAACTAATTCTTGTAAATTTATTCAAAAGAATTCTTATAAATGCTTTTCTCTGGAGCTATAGAAATTTCCTGAGGAAATAGAGCTAGATTCAGAGGAAGGAAATTTTAAACCAGGGGCTCAGAGATCCAAAAGATCTTCAGCTTAGAGGAAGGGAATTTATGAATTTTAACTGATTTCTGCTTTTAATTTTGCCAAGAAATTCTCTAAAGTTAGCCATTACATTTCTTTGTATCCTCTTTTTAATTTTATCTTTCATTAAAAAAAACTTCTCAAAAACATCTTTTAAAACATAGCCAATTTATTCCAAAAGTGACTAAAACCAATAATCCTTCTTCATGGAAAGACATGGAGGTAACTTTTCAGATTTAGAATACCATGGCATTGTCAAAGTGGGTGCACAAGATGCAGCCCTGCCACCAATTTAGAAAGTTTACTCCCAGAGACAGAAAAAGAAAGCAAAGAAACTTTTCATTACCACAAACAGTTAAGGATTGTATCTGTGAATACAGTGATTCCAGACTCCTATGGACACATGGGGTGCCACATGGAGTGCCTCCAGTCAGAAATCTGATCATCTGTGACACTGGCTGGGCAGGCATTATTGGGATTGGGCTTTCTTAGCACTCTCCAGGCAACAAAAGTTATGATGACAAAAGCCTTTATGGACTGGGGCCTCTTAAGATAAACTCCCCTGAGAGATGGAACAGCCTGACAAAGAGAATCTTGCTTGGAACTTTGCATCTTGGGTTATGACCCTTTTTGACTAGCAGACTGATGCAACCTGACAATTGCACCCCTCTGGGTGGCAGAAACAAGAAAGAGACGTCCTTCCTCACTGGGTCACAAAGCCAAGCTCCCAAGACACAAAACAATATAAAAGGAGAATCTCTCATCCAGTTTTTGTGTTGGGCACCCACAGGAAATTTTGTCTAAGGAGAAGCTGGTCTGATGAGAACTGTGAACTCAGCAGTTCAAGGCTGGCTTGAACAGCAGGTTTACAGGATCTATGCCTGTGTGCTATAGCTTTTCTCTTTATAACAAAATGACACAAAAGATGAAGGCAAAGAAAAACAAAGACCATCTATGGAGGGAAGGGATCATAAAACAAAAATACTCACACTAAAAATAAAAACACCAAAGTCGCTATACAAGAACTCATTTACATACACTTTTTTTCCTGCTAATCTACATTTGGAAAGGAAAAAGACTCCCGCCACTTGCTCAACTAGACTCCACAGGCAGAAAGCCAGGAGACTGACTTGACAATAATTCTTACCTTTTGCCAGCTTCCCCAGGTCTCAGGGTCTCACAGCCTTCAGAGTGAGCAGAGAGATTTGTTCTCCTGGCTTCTCACTGAAACTGCAGAGGGGAGGGAAACTTTTCTTCCACTTTCTGAAGTTTTGGTAATTTGAGTCTCTGGAACAAACTGACAGCAGACAGATTAATAGGAGAAAAGACTTACAAATTTATTATGTGCACATATGCATGGGATCCACACAAAATATGAGACTCAAAGAAAGGCCAGATGGTTGAAGCTTAAATAGCATTTTGAGCTGCAGAAAGAAATAGGGGCTTGGGGTTTCTCAAGGGGAGTTGGCAACATAAGCTATGGGAGGGTTAGGGGAGGAAATGCATGATGAACAAAAGTTGCCTCGTAACGTAAATATAATTTCTGAGGTAGCAGTTGTCAGAAGAATAGATGATGTGGACCTTGAGTATCCTTTCCTATGAGTTAATCTTTCCAGTTTGATGAGACAATAGGGATGGGGGCTCATGACAATTGCATTCCTTCTAGAGGAACTTCCCTTAGTCACATAAGGGAACTTCAAAAAAAGTCCTTTCCTGCATTTGCTGCTCTTAAGGTGCTCTTGGTTTGAAATGCAAAGTGGCATATTTTGGGCTATCATTTCCTGAGCTCCAACACCTGAAATTAATATGTAAAATAAATCAAAATGTATATTTTTAAAGCAAATTGATGCAATGTGAGAAAAGAGAATCAATTGTATTTCAGATTTTTTCTTTAAGTGGCTTAGAAGCCTTAACATTGGACACAAGGAAAAGAAATTATGGTCCTATGTTGTCATGTAGCAAACAATATATCACTGATCTTAATCATGTGACCTCTGTTTAGTGCCTTTTGGCTTTGTGCTTTCCCTTTGGGTTTTTTTTTTTATTTTTAAACAAAGCCTTTAATACTAATTGTAATGACAAAACAGAATGTAAAGTATTGTGGCATGAAAAATGTATTATGTTAAAGCTGAACTTTTCTGAAATGAGACCCTAGGATAAAGATTTCAGTGCAGGTCTTTTACTAGAGCTAATTCCAGGAAAAACCAAGAGAGGAATGAGGAAAGGAGACAGGGAAGGGAAGAAAGACAATAAAAGGATTATTATTAAGCACATGATCTCTGTGGACATCTGAGCCTCATTCAGACAGGAAAACTGAGATTAATCCAGCCTCAGAGTTGCTTTCCATGGAGAGGTAAGGATACTGGCGTATGTATCTTCCAAATCTCACCTGCTACTTGCTGAAGCGTAACACTTATGGCCTGCTCTGTGGGAGGTTGGAGAGGAAGCCCTCACATAGAGTCAGAGGTGTTTTCAGATGCAAGAGACAATGTATGGGAACAATAATGCTAAGGGAATATTAGACGAGTGCCAACAGTTTCTGCTAATGTCCACATCTTGCATTGTTCAGATCTACTCACATGCCAAGGTTATATTACTAAGAGCTATCACTTCATCTTTAGGCTAGTGGACAGTCAAAATTTCTAGGGGAAAAAAAAGAAAAATTACTTATAAGTCAGGAAACTTCATGGGACAAGCTACTATTTTAGGTATTTATTCTCTGTTTTTGGCACTCATTCTAGATTTTTCTCACCCTTGAACATTATTCTGTTATCCTAGATTGCATGTTTGGTGGGTATCCCAGACCTTTATCATGAGGTATCTGAGCCCCTGGTCACTGTGCCCTTGTCAAACCTTGTTTACTGCAATTCTCATTTACGATTATCATTGCAAATGAAAGCAGCAAGAGGCAACCTACTAAATCTTCTGAGTCCTGAAATACTTTTCACTGCCCAAATATGTTACAGCATCATGGTGTCTATGTAACAATCAGGTCAACTACTCCTGGCAGTATAGTCATTCCTTTATTTGCCTGTTGGTCTGCTGGCATAAGAAACCTAAAATCATCAGGTAGCAGCTTCAGCTTGTATTTAATTGAACATTCACTATGCTCCCACTTGTACCCCCATCCCTCCCCTTACCTCATAAAGGAACCAAAAATTTTAGTCTTATAGGAATAAATTGTAAGGACAAGAATAAAGAGGAGTAATGTTGAGTTGGAGACATTCTATTGTACTTCCACCACTTGTTTCATAGACTCATGTACTTTAGCTATTTACATCACAGTAGCATAAAATGACCATTGATTTAAAGTATATACTGCATTTTGAAGAACAATGCTTAATACTGAAGGATGTCCTTTCCAGATGACACCTTATGTGCACTTTGAGAGGCTTTTCCAACACTATAAGGCTAACAGTTTCTGACCTTTGGAACTCATGATCACATGCCCCTTGTTATACTGCCTTAATCCAATAGTGGGTCCTTAGTCCTAGGTGATACTGTCAGGTCTCTGAGCCCAAGCTAAGCCATCATATCCCCTGTGACCTGCACATACACTTCCAGATGGCCGGTTCCTGCCTTAACTGATGACATTATCTTGTGAAATTCCTTTTCCTGGCTCATCCTGGCTCAAAAAGTTCCCCCACTGAGCACCTTGTGACCCCCCACCCCTACCTGCCATAGAACAACCCCCTTTGACTGTAATTTTCCTTTACCTACCCAAATCCTATAAAACGGCCCCACCCCTATCTCCCTTCACTGACTCTCTTTTCAGACTCAGCCCGCCTGCACCCAGGTGAAATAAACACCTTGTTGCTCATGTAAAGCCTGTTTGGTGGTCTCTTCACAGGGACGGGAGAGAAATTTGGTGCTGTGACTCAGATCGGGGGACATACCTTGGGAGATCAATCCCCTGTCCTCCTGCTGTTTGTTACATGAGAAAGATCCACCTATGACCTCTGGTCTTCAGGCCGACCAGCCCAAGGAACATCTCACCAATTTTAAATCGGGTAAGCAGCCTCTTTTTACTCTCTTCTCCAACCTCCCTCACTATCCCTCAACCTCTTTCTCCTTTCAATCTTGGCGCCACACTTCAATCTCTCCCTTCTCTTAATTTCAATTCCTTTCATTTTCTGGTAGAGACAAAGGAGACACATTTTATCCATGGACCCAAAACTCCGGCGCCGGTCACGGACTTGGGAAGGCAGCCTTCCCTTGGTGTTGAATCACTGCGGGGACTCTTCTCTGACTATTCACCCATTTTCCATTGGTGTCTGATCTCCATGGGGATGCCTGCCTTGATCATTCACCCACGTTCCCTTGGTGGCAAGTCAATTGCGGGGACGCCTGCTTTGGCTGATCACCCATGTTGCAGCCCAGGGCTGCTCCCCACCCCCTTCTCCCTGTCTCTACACTTCTCTTTAAACTTGCCTCCTTTACTATGGGCAACCTTCCTTCTTCTCCTCCTTCTTCTCCCTTAGCCTGTGTTCTTAAGAACTTAAAACCTCTTCAAGTCACACCTGACCTAAAGCCTAAATGCCTTATTTTCTTCTACAATGCTGCTTGACCCCAGTACAAACTTGACAGTGGTTACAAATAGCCAGAAAACGGCACTTTCAATTTTTCCATCCTACAAGATCTAAATAATTCTTGTTGTAAAATGGGCAAATGGTCTGACGTCCAGGCATTCTTTTACACATTGTTCCCTCCCTAGTCTCTGTTCCCAATGTGAATCATCCCAAATCCTCCTTCTTTCCCTCTCGCCTGTCCCCAGTCCCAACCCCAAGCATCGCTGAGTCTTCCTAATCTTCCTCTTCTACAGACCCATCTGACCTCTCCCCTCCTCCCCAGGCTGCTCCTCACCAGGCCGAGCTAGGTCCCAATTCTTCCTCAGGCTCTGCTCCTCCACTCAATAATCTTTTTATGACCTCCCCCCCTCACACCCTATCTGGCTTACAGTTTCATTCCACGACTAGCCCTCCCCCACCTGCCCAGCAATTTCCTCTTAAAAATGTGGCTGGAGCTAAACGCATAGTCAAGGTTAATGCTCCTTTTTCTTTATCCGACCTCTCCCAAATCAGTTAGCATTTAGGCTCTTTTTCATCAAATATGAAAAACCCAGCCCACTTCATGGCTCATTTGGCAGCAACCCTGAGATGCTTTACAGCCCTAGACCCTAAAAGGTCAAAAGGCCGTCTTATTCTCAATATACATTTTATTACCCAATCTGCTCCTGCCTTTAAATAAAGCTCCAAAAATTAAATTCCAGCCCTCAAACCCCACAACAGGACTTAATTAACCTAGCTTTCAAGATGTACAATAATAGAAAAAAGTTGCAATTCCTCGCTTCCACTCTGAGACAAACCCCAGCCACATCTCCAGCACACAAGAACTTCCAAACACCTGAACCACAGTGGCCAGGCGTTCCTCCAGAACCTCCTCCCACAGGAGCTTGCTACAAGTGCCAGAAATCTGGCCACTGGGCCAAGAAATGCCCACAGTCGGGGATTCCTCCTAAGCCGCGTCCCATCTCTGCGGGACCCCACTGAAAATCGGACTGTTCAACTCACCTGGCAGCCACTCCCAGAGCCCTGGAACTCTGGCCCAAGGCTCTCTGACTCCTTCCCAGATCTTCTTGGCTTAGCGGCTGAAGGCTGACACTGCCTGATTGCCTCAGAAGCCCCCTAAACCATCAGGGACGCCGAGCTTCGGGTAACTCTCACAATGGAAGGTAAGTCCGTCCCCTTCTTAATACAGAGGCTACCCACTCCACACATTACCTTCTTCTCAAGGGCCTGTTTCCCTTGCCTCCATAACTGTTGTGGTTATTGACAGCCAGGCTTCTAAACCTCTTAAAACTCCCCAACTCTGGTGCCAACTTAGACAATACTCATTTAAGCACTCCTTTTTAGTTATCCCCACCTGCCCAGTTCCCTTATTAGGCCGAGACACTTTAACTAAATTATCTGCTTCCCTGACTATTCCTGGGCTACAGCCACACCTCATTGCTGCCTTTTCCCCCAGTTCAAAGACTCCTTCACATCCTCCCCTTGTATCTCCCCACCTTAGCCCACAAGTTTCGGATACCTCTACTCCTTCCTTGGCGACTGATCATGCACCCCTTACCATCTCATTAAAACCTAATCACCCTTACCCCACTCAATGGCAATATCCCATCCCACAGGACGCTTTAAAAGGATTAAGGTCTGTTGTCATTCGCCTGCTGCAGTATGGCCTTTTAAAGCCTATAAACTCCCCTTACAATTCCCCATTTTACCTGTCCTAAAACCAGACAAGACTTACAGGTTAGTAGTTCAGGATCTGCGCCTTATCAACCAATTTGTTTTGCCTATCCACCCCATGGTGCCAAACCCATATACTCTCCTATCCTCAATACCTCCCTCCACAACCTATTATTCTGTTCTGGATCTGAAACATGCTTTCTTTACTATTCCTTTGCATCCTTCATCCCAGCCTCTCTTCGCTTTCACTTGGACTGACCCTGACACTCATCAGGCTCAGCAAATTACCTGGGCTATACTGCCGCAAAGCTTCACTGACAGCCCCCATTACTTCAGTCAAGCCCAAATTTCTTCCTCATCTGTTACCTATCTTGGCATAATTCTCATAAAAACACATGTGCTTTCCCTGCCGATCATGTCCGACTGATGTCTCAAACTCCAGCACCTTCTACAAAATAACAACTCTTTTCCTTCCTAGGAATGGCTTGATACTTTCGACTTTAGATACCTGGTTTTGCCATCCTAACAAAACCATTATATAACTCACAAAAGGAAACCTAGCTGACCCCATAGACCCTAAATCCTTTCCCCCACTCCTCTATCTGTTCCTTGAAGACAGCTTTAGAAACTGCCCCCACCCTAGCTCTCCCTGACTGATCCCAACCCTTTTCATTATCCACAGCTGAAGTGCAAGGCTGTGTAGTCAGAATTCTTACACAAGAACCGGGACCGTGCCCTGTAGCCTTTTTATCCAAAACTTGACCTTACTGTTTTGCCTAGCCCTCAAGTCTGCGTGCAGTGGCCGCCACTGCCCTAATAATTTTAGAGGCCCTTAAAATCACAAACTATACTCAACTCACTCTCTACAGTTCTCATAACTTCCAAAATCTATTTTCTTCCTCACACCTGACACATATAGTTTCCGCTCCCTGGTTCCTTCAGCTGTACTCACTCTTTGTTAAATCTCCCACAATTACCATTGTTCCTGGCCCAGACTTCAATCTGGCCTCCCACATTATTCCTGATACCACACCTGACCCCCATGGCTGTATCTCTCTGATCCACCTGACATTCATCCCATTTCCCCATATTTCCTTCTTTCCTGTTCCTCACCCTGATCACGCTCAGTTTATTGATGGCAGTTCCACCAGGCCTAATCACCACACACCAGCAAAGGCAGGCTATGCTATAGTACAAGCCACTAGCCCGCCTCTTAGAACCTCTCATTTCCTTTCCATCGTGGAAATCTATCCTCAAAGAAATAACTTCTCAGTGTTCCATCTGCTATTCTACTACTTCTCAGGGATTATTCCGGCCCCCTGCCTTCCCTACACATAAAGCTCAGGGATTTGCCCCCGCCCAGGACTGGCAAATTAGCTTTACTCAACATGCCCCAAGTCAGGAAACTAAAATACCTCTTGGTCTAGGTAGACACTTTCACTGGATAGGTAGAGGCCTTTCCCACAGGGTCTAAGAAGTCCACCACGGTCATTTCTTCCCTTCTGTCAGACATAATTCCTCGGTTTGGCCTTCCCACCTCTATACAGTCTGATAGCAGACCGGCCTTTATTAGTCAAATCAGCCAAGCATTTTTTTCAGGCTCTTGGTATTCAGTGAAACCTTTATATCCCTTACAGTACTCAGTCTTCAGGAAAGGTAGAATGGACTCGTGGTCTTTTAAAAACATACCTCACCAAGTTCATCCACCAACTTAAAAAGGACTAGACAATACTTTTACCAATTTCCCTTCTCAGAATTCAGGCCTGTCCTCAGAATGCTACAGGGTACAGCCCATTTAAGCTCCAGTATAGATGCTCCTTTTTATTAGGCCCCAGTCTCATTCCAGACACCAGACCAACTTGGACTCTGCCCCAAAACACTTGTCATCCCTAGTATATTCTGTCTAGTCATACTCCTATTCGCCATTCTCAACTACTCATACATGCCCTGCTCTTGTTTACACTGCCAGTTTACACTATTTCTCTAAGCCACCACAGTTGATATCTCCTGGTGCTATCCCCAAACTGCCACTCTTAACTCTTGAAGCAAATAAATAATCTCTGCTGGCAGGGCTATGCTGAATCTCCTTAGGCACTCTCTAATTAAATGTCCTAGGTCCTCCCAGTTCTTAGACCTTTATACCTGTTTTTCTCCTTCTCTTATTCCATTTAGTTTTTCAATTCATACAAAACCGTATCCAGGCCATCACCAATAATTCTAAATGACAAATGTTTCTTCTCACAACCCCACAATATCACCCCTTACCACAAAATCTTCCTTCAGCTTAATCTCTCCCACTCTAGGTTCCCACACCACCCCTAATCCCGCTCGAAGCAGCCCTGAGAAACATTGCCCATTATCTCTCCATACCACCCCCCAAAAATTTTCACCGTCCCAACATTTTACCTCTATTTCACTTTATTTTTCTTATTAATATAAGAAGACAGGAATGTCAGGCCTCTGAGCCCAAGCTAAGCCATCATATCCTCTGTGACCTGCACATACACATCCAGATGGCCAGTTCCTGCCTTAACTGATGACATTCCACCACAAAAGAAGTGTAAATGCATGAAATTCATATAGAAACTCATATAATATCTTTCATGCGCGTCCGTGTGAAGAGACCACCAAACAGGCTTTGTGTGAGCAACAAGGCTGTTTATTTCATCTGGGTGCAGGCGGGCTGAGTCTGAAAAGAGAGTCAGTGAAGGGAGATGGGGTGGGCCGTTTTATAGGATTTGGGTAGGTAAAGGAAAATTACAGTCAAACGGGGTTTGTTCTCTGGCAGGCAGGAGTGGGGGTCGCAAGGTGCTCAGTGGGGGTGCTTTTTGAGCCAGATGAGCCAGGAAAAGGACTTTCACAAGGTAATGTCATCACTTAAGGCAAGGACCAGCCATTTACACTTCTTCTGTGGTGGAATGTCATCAGTTAAGGTGGGGCAGGGCATATTCACTTCTTTTGTGATTCTTCAGTTACTTCAGGCCATCTGGGCCTATACGTGGAAGTCACAGGGGATGCGATGGCTTGGCATGGGCTCAGAGGCCTGACATTCCTGCCTTCTTATATTAATAAGAAAAATAAAACAAAATAGTGTTGAAGTGTTGGGGCGGCGAAAATTTTTGGGGGGTGGTAAGGAGAGAGAATGGGCGATGTTTCTCAGGGCTGCTTCAAGCGGGATTAGGGGCGGCGTGGGAACCTAGAGTGGGAGAGATTAAGCTGAAGGGAGGTCTTGTGGTAAGGGGTGATATTGTGGGGTTGTTAGAAGAAACATTTGTCGTATAGAATGATTGGTGATGGCCTGGATACGGTTTTGTATGAACTGAAAAACTACATGGAATAAGAGAAGGAGAAATAAAGGTATAAAAGGTATATATCAGCTGTGATGGCTTGGAGAAACAGTGTAAACCGGCAGTGTAAACAAGAGCAGGGCATTTATGAGTAGTTGAGAACGGTAAATAGGAGTATGACTAGACAAAAGATAGTAGGGATGACAAGTTTTTTTGGGGCACAGTCTAAGTTGGTCTGGTGTCGAATGAGACTGGGGCCTAATAAAAAGGAGCGTCTATACAGGAGCTTAAATGGGCTGTACCTTGTAGCATTCTGAGGACAGGTCTGAATTCTGAGAAGCGAAAGTGGTAAAAGTATTATCCAATCCTGTTTAAGTTGGTGGCTGAGCTTGGTGAGGTGTGTTTTTAAAAGACCACGAGTCCATTCTACCTTTCCTGAAGATGGAGGACCGTAAGGGATATAAAGGTTTCACTGAATACTAAGAGCCTGAAAAATGGCTTGGCTGATTTGACTAATAAAGGCTCGTCTGTTATCAGACTGTATTGAGGTGGGAAGGCTAAACTGAGGAATTATGTCTGACAGAATGGAAGAAATGACTGCGGTGGCCTTCTCAGACACTGTAGGAAAGGCCTCTACCTATCCAGTGAAAGTATCTACCTAGACTAAGAGGTATTTTAGTTATCTGACTCAGGGCATGTTGAGTAAAGCTAATTTGCCAGTCCTGGGTGGGGCAAATCCTCAAGCTTGATGTGTAGGGAAGGGAGGGGGCCTGAATAATCCCTGAGGAGTAGTAGAATAGCAGATGGAACACTGAGAAGTTATTTACTTGAGGACAGATTTCCACGATGGAAAGGAAATGAGAGGTTCTAAGAGGCGGGCTAGTGGCTTATACTATAGTATAATCTGCCTTTGCTGGTGTGTGGCGATTAAGCCTGGTGGAACCGCCATCAATAAACTGAGCGTGATCAGGGTGAGGAACAGGAAAGAAGGAAATATAGGGAAATGGGGTGAATATCAGGTGGATCAGAGAGATACAGCCATGGGGGTCAGGTGTGGTATCAGGAATAACGTGGGAGGCCAGATTGAAGTCAGGGCCAGGAACAATGGTAATTGTGGGACTTAAAGAGTGAGTACAGCTGAAGGAGCCGGGGCACAGAAAGTATATGCGTCAGGTATGAGGAAGAAAATAGATTTTGGAAGTTATGAGAACTGTAGAGAGTGAGTTGAGCATAGTTTGCGATTTTGAGGGCCTCCAAAACTATTAAAGCAGTGGCAGCTGCTGCAGGCAGACATGAGGACTAGGCTAAAACAGTAAGGTCAAGTTGTTTGGACAGAAAGGCTACAGGGTGTGGTCCTGGCTCTTGTGTAAGAATTCTGACCGCGCTAACCATACCTAGGAAGGAAAGGAGTTGTTGTTTTGTAGAAGGTGCTGGGGTTTGAGAGATCAGTCGGACACGATTGGCAGGGAGAGCACGTGTGTTTTTATGAGAATTATGCCGAGATAGGTAACAGATGAGGAAGAAATTTGGGCTTGATTGAAGTAATGGGGGCTGTCTGTGAAGCTTTGTGGCAGTACAGCTTAGGTAATTTGCTGAGCTTGATGGGTGTCAGGGTCAGTCCAAGTGAAAGCAAAGAGAGGCTGGGATTAAGGGTGCAAAGGAATAGTAAAGAAAGCATGTTTCAGATCTAGAACAGAATAATGGGTTGTAGAGGCAGGTATTGAGGATAGGAGAGTATATGGGTTTGGCAACACAGGGTGAATAGGCAAAACAATTTGGTTGATAAGGCGCAGATCCTGAACTAACTTGTAAGGCTTGTCTGGTTTTAGGACAGGTAAAATGGGGGAATTATAAGGAGAGTTCATAGGCTTTAAAAGGCCATGCTGTAGCAGGCGAGTGATAACAGGCTTTAATCTTTTTAAAGCGTGCTGCGGGATGGGATATTGGCATTGAGTGGGGTAAGGGTGATTAGGTTTTAATGAGATGGTAAGGGGTGCATGATCGGTCGCCAAGGAAGGAGTAGAGGTATCTTATACTTGTGGGTTAAGGTGGGGGGATACAAGAGGAGGACGCAAAGGAGGCTTTGGATTGTGAAGAAGGGCGGCAATGAGATGTAGCTGTAGTCCAGGAATAGTCAGGGAAGCAGATAATTTAGTTAAAGGGTCGCAGCCTAATAAGGGAACTGGGCAGGTGGGGATAACTAAAAAGGAGTGCTTAAAAGAGTATTGTCTAAGTTGGCACCAGAGTTGGGGAGTTTTAAGAGGTTTAGAAGCCTGGCCGTCAATACCCACAACAGTTATGGTGGCAAGGGAAGCAGGCCCTTGAAAAGAAGGTAATGTGGAGTGGGTAGCCTCCACATTGCTTAAGAAGGGGACGGGCTTACCTTCCACTGTGAGAGTTACCCGAAGCTTGGCATCCGAGATGGTCTAGGGGGCTTCCGAGGCGAATGGGCAGTGTCAGTCTTCAGCCGCTAAGCCGAGAAGATCTGGGAAGGAGTCAGTCAGAGAGCCTTGGGCCAGAATTCCAGGGGATCTGGGAGTGGCTGCCAGGTGAGTTGAACAGTCCGATTTTCAGTGGGGTCCCACAAAGATGGGACGTGGCTTAGGAGGAATCCCGGGCTGCGGGCACTCCTTGGCCTAGTGGCCAGATTTCCAGCACATGTAGCAAGCTCCTGTGGGAGGAGGTTCTGGAGGAATGCCTGGCCACTGCAGTTCAGGCGTTTGGAAGTTCTTGTGTGCTGGAGATGTGGCTGGGGTTTGTCTCACAGTGGAAGCAAGGAATTGCAACTTTTTTCTATTATTGTACACCTTGAAGGCGAGGTTAATTAAGTCCTGTTGTGGGGTTTGAGGGCTGGAATTTAATTTTTGGAGTTTTATTTAATGTCAGGAGCAGATTGGGTAATAAAATGTATTTTGAGAATAAGACGGCCTTTTGACATTTTGGCATCTAGGGCTGTAAAGCATCTCAGGGTTGCTGCCAAACAAGTCATGAACTGGGCTGGATTTTTATATTTGATGAAAAAGAGCCTAAACGCTTCTGATTTGGGATAAAGAAAAAGGAGTATTAACCTTGACTATGCCTTTAGCTCCAGCCACCTTTTTAAGAGGAAATTGCTGGGCAGGTGGGGGAGGGCTAGTCACGGAACAAAACTGTAAGCCGGACCAGGTGTGAGGAGGGGAGGTGATAAAAAGATTATAGGGTGGAGGAGCAGAGGCTGAGGAAGAATTGGGACCTAGCTCGGCCTGGCGAGGAGCAGCCTGGGGAGCAAGGGAGAGGTCAGATGGGTCTGTAGAAAAGGAAGATTAGAAAGACTCAGCGATGCTTGGGGTTGGTACTGAGGGGACAGGCGGGAGGGAAAGAAGGAATATTTGGGACGAGTTGCACTGCGCACAGAGACTAGGAAGGGACTGATGTGTAAAAGAATGCCTGGACATCAGGCACCTCAGACCGTTTGCCTATTTTACAACAAGAATTATTTAGATCTTGCAGGATGGAAAAATTCAAAGTGCCATTTTCTGGCTATTTGGAACTACTGTCGAGTTTGTATTGGGGTCAAGCAGCATTGCAGAAGAAAATAAGGCATTTAGGTTTTAGGTCAGGTGTGAGTTGAAGAGGTTTTAAGTTTTTGAGAACACAGGCCAAGGGAGTAGAAGGAGGAATGGAGGGTGGAAGATTGCCTATAGTGAAGGAACCAAGCCTAGAGAAAAAAGAGAGTAGAGAAATGGAGGGAAGCGGTTTGGGGGTTCTTACCTTCCAGAAAAGTGGGAAAAGGGGTTGGGGCACAGAGATAAGAGGTCGGGGCATGGAAATAAGGGATGGGGTGCAGAAATAAGGGGTAGGGGCATGGAAATAAGGGGTCAGGGCACAGAAATAAGGGATTGGGGCGCAGAGATATAAGAGGTTGGGGCGTGGAAATAAGGGATTGGGGCGCAGAGATACAAGGTTGAGGTACTTGCCCCTCATCTAGAAAAGCGGGACTTGCTGCTAAGAGTGAAGGAGAAGGGGTTGAGGGGTACTTGCCCCTCTCCCAGAAAAGCAGAGAAGGGGTAGAGACAAGGAGAGAAGGGGTTGGAGTACTTGCCCTGTCCCCGGAAAAGCAGAGAAGTGGTAGAGACAAGGAGAGAAGGGATTGAGGTACTTGCCCCTTCCCCAGAAAAGTGGGACTTGCTGATAAGGGCGAAGGACCAAGGCAGGCGTCCCTGTGTGGTCTGACACCCTTGAAACGTGGGTGTATAATCAGAGAGGCGTCCCTGCAATGATTAAACACCAAGGGAAGGCTGCCTTCCCAGTCCGTGACCGGTGCCGGAGTTTTGGGTCCACAGATAAAACGTGTCTCCTTTGTCTCTCCCAGAAAATGAAATGAATTGAAATTAAGAGAAGGGAGAGATTGAAGAGTGGAAAGGAGAAAGTGGTTGAGGGACAGTGAGAGAGGTTGGAGAAGAGAGTAAGAAGAGGCCGCTTACCTGATTTAAAAATGGTGAGATGTTCCTTGGGCTGGTGGGTCTGAGGACCTGAGGTCGTAGGTGGATCGTTCTCATGGAGCAAAGAACAGGAGGACAGGGGATTGATCTCCCAAGGGAGGTCCCCCGATCTGAGTCACAGCACCAAATTTCATGCGTGTCCGTGTAAAGAGACCACCAAACAGGCTTTGTGTGAGCAACATGGCTGTTCATTTCACCTGGATGCAGGCGGGCTGAGTCGGAAAAGAGAGTCAGTGAAGGGAGATAAGGGTGGGGCCGTTTTATAGGATTTGGGTAGGTAAAGGAAAATTACAGTCAAACGGGGTTTTTTCTCTGGCAGGCAGGAGTGGGGGTCACAAGATGCTCAGTGGGGGTGCTTTTTGAGCCAGGATGAGCCAGGAAAAGGACTTTCACAAGGTAATGTCATCACTTAAGGCAAGGACAAGCCATTTACACTTCTTTTGTGGTGGAATGTCATCAGTTAAGGTGGGGCAGGGCATATTCACTTCTTTTGTGATTCTTCAGTTACTTCAGGCCATCTGGGCCTATACGTGCAAGTCACAGGGGATGCGATGGCTTGGCTTGGGCTCAAAGGCCTGACAATGAGGAACCTTTAACAATAAATCAGATACTCTTTGAACTTTCAGACAATGCTATTAGCTGAGGCACTATAGGCAGGGGAGGCATATCAATATCAGTAAGGAAGAACTGTTGTCAATATAATTAGCCACCAAGTGACGGGTTGGATTCCTCAAAAGATGATACCGTATTGGCAGTTTAGTGATAACTCTGTAGCTGTGTGATACCTCTGCAGTCTGACATTCAGCAGCAGATAATCCTTGGCAAAAGGGAACTCATGCTATTGGTCTTTTACACAGCCCAAATCCCTGCCAACATGACTTCTCTATTCATGGGCCACTCGTGTAAGTACTAGGTTAGAAGAACAGAGGCTGGCTAGTGTATATGAAATTAGTAACTCAGTCCATCTGATTTTAGTAGCTTCTTTGAAACTTACACATCTAGTGAAAACTGTCCCAAAGCAAAAAAAAAAAAAAAATTAACAAGCCTTTAAATCACTCCCATATGTGTCCATTTGCATGCCTCTTACCTATATCTTCTTGTTTTCAATCAACACCTGCATTTTGCAGATTCCTGAACAAGCTGTCAAGCTACTCAGTTCTTCCCAGTATTTTGAGTATCTCAAACCACTTCTTTCTTAACATAAAATTACTGTCAAATATACTGAGTAAGCCTCTGCCCAGTAGAAAACTTTTCATTCACTGCCAACTTTTAGTGCCACCCCAAGTGACAGCAGTGTGACAGAAGTACTTTCTTTGGTTGAACAAACATTTAAACATTCTGTCCATGATCCAGGCCTAGGTGTTTTGCAATTCCATCAGCTATTCCCAAGGAATCCTCAAAGACAATGTGTCTGTGAGCTTAGGAAGAGTTCATTGGTACAAACAACAAACAAGAGTCTCTGGTGAAGGAACCAATGTGAGGTTTATACATCTAGAAACTTTATCCAAACTGAACATTCCTTTAGATACCAGAAAAATTACTACACTGTATGCGTGTGAAAGGGATGTGAATTAGGACTTCATTTATCACTTGGCCTCTGTATGCCTCCCTTGACAAGGGTGTCCATGTTGATTTTATGGTACTCTGGTGTTAATGTCAGCACAGAATCTGTATCTAAGTGCTGTCTCAGGAGATCTATGTATTTCTCCTTTTCGCAATGTATGCTATCTTATTAGAGACAAAGGAATGGTGGTGTGGGTTGCTATTGCCTTTTATGTATATTTCATCTCCTGAGTTCTTTCTCTCCTTCAGTCAATAATTCTGAGTCTGAAAACTGGCTAAGGTCTGGAAACAAGGATTGTGATTTTCCATTATAGAGGCTGACATCAATCTTCTCACTTGTTCTTGACCTTCTTTGATTATATAGGTCAGGGTCCTAACTTCTCCTGTAAAGGGCTAGACAGTAAATATTTCACGGTTTTGTAGGCCATACAGTTTCTGTTTTATCTACTTAACTTTGCCATTGTAGCACAAAACAGACATAAACAGTAGGTAAATAAATGGACATGGTCATGTTTCACAGACAAAAGACTAGATTTCACCCACAGGCTGTAGTCAGCTGACCCCGATACAGGTCAAATCATGCTGGTTGCTGGCTACCTGTCTATCTCATCCCTAGCTCTATGACTGATTACGTATAATAGATCTACAATGTAGGTCCTCTGCATGTCATCCAGACCTTTCTACCCATCATTATAAGTAGATATGCTTTGCAACTGATGGTTAGGTGCTGTCACCTGATATCAAATATGGCATGATTTTGTTATCCATATTGCCCCCAAAGGCACAAGTTCCATATAAAAATCTTCTATCATCAACCCAGAACCATAGACACAGCCACAAGTATACTTGTCATCAATGTTGGCACCTTTGTCAGTGGTGAATTCCTTATCATTTTAGTAAAAAGAGTGTCCTCTAGGTCCTTCCAGGAAACATACTCAGATGATATATTTTCCAGAGTTAGATAATAAATTCATTTTAACCTGATTGGTTCTCTGAGGTTTTCACCCCTTCTGTCACACTCTGCTAAAGCAAGTTTATTTACTTTAGGCTGCCATTCCAAGCTTTAAACAGTTATCCCAATAATATGATAGAAGCAGCTCATGATCACATTTCCAGAATTTTAATCCTGAGTTATGACAGACTACTCCCCCATATCCATTGATATGGTTTGGCTGTATCCCCACTCAAATGTCATCTCAAATTGTAGCTCTCATAATCCCATGTGCCATGTGAGGGACCCAGTAGGAGGTGATTGAATCATAGGGGTGGGTTTTTTCCATGCTGTTCTTGTGATAGTGAATAAGTCTCACAAGATCTGATGGTTTTATACAGGGCAATTCCCCTGCACACACTCTCTTGCCTGCCACCATAGAAGACATGCCTTTGCTCCTCCTTTGCCTTCTGTCATGATTGTAAGGCCTCCCCAGCCATGTGGAATTGTGAGTCCATTAAACCTCATTTTCTTTTTAAACCACCCAGTCTCAGGTATTTCTTCATAGCTGTATGAAAATAGACTAATATAGTAAATTGGTAACAAGAGTGGGGTACTGCTATTAAGATACCTGAAAATTTGGAAGTAACTTTGGAACTGGGTAACACGTAGAGAATGGAACACTTTGGAAGGCTCAGAAGGAGACAAAAAGAGGCAGCAATGTTTGGAGCTTCCTAGAGACTTGTTGAATGGTCTTCACCAAAAAGTCCAGACTGAGGTGGTCTCAGATGGAAGTAAGGAACTAGAGTAAATATGATTCTTGCTATATGCTTCAGCAAAGAGACTGGTGGCATTTTGTCCCTGCCCTAGAAATCTGTGAACTTTTAACTTGAGAGAGATGATTGAGGATATCTGATGGAAAAAATTTCTAAGCAGCAAAGGTTTCAAGATGTGACTTGAGTGCTCTTAAAAGCATTCAGTTTTATTCATTCACAAATATATGGTTTGTAATTGGAACTTATGCTTAAAAGGGATGCTCAATATAAAAGTTTGAAAACTTTGTAGCCTGACAATGTGATAGAAAAGAAAAATACCATTTTCTGAGAAGAAATTCAAGCTGGCTGCAGAAATTTGCATAAGTAATAAGGAGCCAAACGTTAATTGCCATGATAATGCAGAAAATGTCTCCAGGACATCATCGCAGCCCTCGCATCACAAGCCAGGAGGCCTAGGAGGGAAAAATGGTTTTGTGGGCCAGGCCCAGGGCCTTGCTGCTTTGTGCAGTCTCGGGACTTGGTGCCCTGCATTCCAGCCATGGCTAAAAGGGACCAATATCCAGCTCAAGTCACTGTTTCATAGATTGCAAGCCCCAAACCTTGGTAGCTTACACATGGTGTTATGCCTAAGGGGACATAGATATCAAGAACTGAGGTTTAGGAACCTTACACCTAGATTTCAGAGGATGTATGGAAACACCTGGGTGTCCAGGCAGAGGTGTGCTGCAGGGGTGGAATTCTCATGGAGAACCTCTGCTAGGGCTGTACAGAAGGGAAATGTGGGGTAAGAGCTCCCACACAGAGTCCCCACTGGGGCACTACCTGGTGGAGCTCTGAGAAGAGGGCCACCATCCTCCAAACCACAGAATGGTACATCCACTGAAAGCTTGCACCATGCACTTGGAAAAGCCACAGACACTCAATGCCAGCCCATGAAAGCATCCAGGAGGGGTGCTATACCCTGCTAAGCCACTGGGGCAGAACTGCCCAAAACCATGGGAACCCTCATCTTGCATCAGTGTGAACGGATGTGAGACAGAGTCAAAGGAGATCATTTTGGAGCCTTAAGATTGACTGCCTCACTGGATTTTGGACTTGCATGGGGCCTGTAGCCCCTTCATTTTATCCAATTTCTCCAATCTGGAATGGGTGTATTTACCCAGTGCCTGTATCCCCATTGTATCTAAGAAGCTACCAACTTGCTTTTGATTTTACAGGATCATAGGTAGAAGACACTTGTTTTGTCTCAGATGAGACTTCGGACTGTGGACTTTTGAGTTAATGCTGAAATGAGTTAAGACTTTGAGGGGCTGTTGGGAAGGCATGTTTGGTTTTGAAATGTGAGGACATGAGATTTGTCAGGGGTCAGTGGTGGCATGATATGGTTTAGCTGTATCCCCACCCAAATCTCATCTTGAATTGTCATTCCCATAATCCCCACATGTCATGGGGAGGTAACTGAATCATGGGGGTAGGTTTTGCCTGTGCTGTTCTCATGCTAGTCAGTAAGTCTCATGAGATCTGATGGTTTTATAAAGGACAGTTCCCCTGCACACACTCTCTTGCCTGTCACCATGTAAGATGTGTCTTTGTTCCTCCTTACCTTCCATGAGGCTTCCCCAGCCATGTGGAACTGTGAATTCATTAATCCTCTTTTTCTTTATAAATTACCAAGTCTCAGGTATAACTTCATAGCAGTATGAAAATGGACTAATACATTGTGTTTTTTGTTTGTTTGTTTTTTTAAGAAGGAGTCTTGCTCTGTCACCCAGGCTGGAGTGCAGTGGCGCGATCTCAGCTCACTGCAAGCTCTGCCTCCCGGGTTCATGCCATTCTCCTACCTCAGCCTCCTGAGTAGCTGGGACTACAGGCGCCTGCCACCGCGCCTGGCTAATTTTTTTTATTTTTATTTTTGTATTTTTAGTAGAGACAGGGTTTCACCATGATAGCCAGGATGGTCTCAATCTCCTGACCTTGTGATCCACCCGCCTCGGGTAATCCCAAAGTGCTGGGATTACAGGCATGAGCCACCACGTCCAGCCAAAAATGGACTAATACATTCTTAGTGTTCACTATCTAGCCTTATATTCCATTCTCCCATCCCCTACCCCTGGTATAGCATTTCAAGATTAATTATGAGGCATATTCTCCCAATTTCTGGTAGTATATTTCTACCAGTTCCTACTGCTCTTTTGGTAAACTATTCTTTTCCTTTTGTTCCATTACAGTATTTCATTACTTGGGCCATGCCGAAACAACTCTACTTATTGGTCTAAAGGCAATGGGGTGAAGCAGTGGAAGATCTTGAGGAAGGTAAGCATGCAAATAAGGAAGGGTTGGATTCTCTTTTCTTGAGAGGAGTGGTGGTGAGATGGGGGGACTCTTGCTGATGTAGAATACCTGGGATAATATGGGAATTCAAGCTTTTCATGTCCATGCACCCAAGTATCTTCATCTAGCTCTAAGGGTCCACTCCTTCCCTCTCAGAGTCCTGACATGATGTAAGAGGACTGTAAATTTAAATCTGCATAACAGCGCAACAATTAAAATCAGGAATTTCTGATTTTCAGCAGATCCTGTTCCCTTCTGTGCAAGATTTGTGATTCTCTTTATTATTGCTGTGGAGGCTTTCCGGCTTTTGCACAATCCCTTTGTTAATTGGTAGCTGACCTGATCCTCTCATAGTCTTCCTTCAAAATATCTGGGGCAGTTAACAATAGTCAATCAACTCCAAGATGTAAATAATAATCATTTCCACCATGTCTCTCAAGGGCTAGAGCTATAGCATAAGCCAGTGCATCCCTTTTCACTGGTATTTTATTACAATTCATCACAGGTAAGAGCCTTAGCAATTGTGATGCTGTGCATGCCAGGGTGAACATCCATCAGTTACTAAGTCATGCACCAGTTCCCAGGAGTTTCTTTATCTCTGACCATTTCTTCCTTCCCTAAAGTTTATGACAAGATGTACCAAATGAAGTTTTGCCCATTAGGGAAGACTTTTCCTCACTGCTATCTTTCCACCTCTGAGTAGCAAATGCGGTAGTTTTCCTTTTTCTGCTTGCACCAACATATCAAGCAAACCACTCTTGATCCAGGCCCAGGTGTTTAGCTCCTGTATTAGCTGGTTCTAAGGGTTACCTCAAAAGGCCATTCACAAGAGCTCAGAAAGAGTTTCTGATGGAGTTGTTATCACCAACTGACTGGCAAACTCTCTAATTCCAGATTATTTTTTTTAAATCAAGGGATAGATTAGGATCAGAACTTTGCATACTACCTTGAGTTCCTCAACTAGCATATCTCAAAAAATAAGGCCAGGCACGGTGGCTTATGCCTATAATCCCAGCACTTTGGGAGGCCAAGGTGAGTGGAACACCTGAGGTTGGGAGTTTGAGACCAGTCTGACCAACATGGAGAAACCCCGTCTCTACTGAAAATACAGAATTAGTCAGGCATAGGGGTGCATGCCTGTAATCCCAGCTACTCAGAAGGCTGGGGCAGAGGAATTGCTTGAAGCCAGGAGGCAGAGGTTGCGGTGAGCTGAGATCGTGCCATTGCACTCCAGCCTGGACAACAAGAGTAAAACTGTCTCAAAAAAAAAAAAAAAAAAAAAAAATTGAGGATAAGCAGCTTATTTGAGAGTTTCGAGAGTTGTTCCCAAGAAGTGTTGTCAGGGAAAGAAGGAAATAATACAAATAAGGGACAGAGGACTGTATTATCAATCAAGTTAAATATGTGGGCAACTAGAATGCAATCTTGCTGGAGAAGTCAAGGAGACAATGTAAAACATGCCTAAAATGATGTTTCCCAAGGAAATCTTCAGGAAAGCTGGAGTATTTATCTTCAAACTCCAGTCCATCAGTGGCCAAGGACTGCTCCTGGGGTGTAACTTCCTATTACTTTCAGAGGTGAGAGGAGGGAAAGCCTTGAGACTGAAAGTGGCAGTCATTTGCAGGAGGGCCCTGTGGTATGCAGTGACACAGTGAGTGCTAAGAGGATGTGAGCAGGACATGAACGTGCTGCATATGATAGATCTGATGGAATGTGAAAAGACAGATGGGCAGAGGTAGAAAAAATTTTATTTCTTAGATTTAAAAGGTATCATAACAAAGACCCTCCCAAAATGCTATGACTCAAAAAAGGATAGAAGTTTATTTTCCTCACATGTTATGCTCAACATTCCTGGTCAATAACTGGTCCACGCCATCTTTCAGAGTCCAAGACTATGGAAGTTTTACAATATTCAACGTATGGCTTCCAAGCCACCATAATGATCATCTTTTCAACCAGAGAAAGGTGAAAACAATAGAAGGTATATTAGTCAGGGTTCTCTAGAAGGACAAAACTAATAGAATATATATATATATATATATATATATATAGAGAGAGAGAGAGAGAGAGATATGTATGTGTGTGTATATATGTATATACATGCGTGTGTGTATGTATATATATGTGTGTATATGTATATGTGTGTATATGTGTGTGTATGTATGTATATATACATGTATATACATATATACATGTATATATACATATATACATATATACGTATATATACGTATATACATGTATATATATACACATGTATATGTGTGTGTATGTATATATATGTGTGTGTGTGTGTGTGTGTGTGTGTGTGTGTATATATATATATGGGGGTTTATTAAGGAGTATTAACTCACATGATCACAAGGTCCCAAAATAGGCCGTCTGCAAGCTGAGAAGCAAGGAAAGTCAGTTTGAGTCCTAAAGCTGAAGAACTTGGAGTCCAATATTCAAGGGCAGGAAGCATCCAGCTTGGGAGAAAGATGTAGGCTGGGAGGCTAAGCCAGTCTAGTCTTTTCACGTTCTTCTGTCTGCTTTTTATTTTGGCCATGCTGGCAGCTGATTAGATTGTGCTCACCCAGATTAAGGGTGGGTCTGCCTTTTGCAGCCCACTGACTCAAATGTTAATCTCCTTTGGCAACAGCATCACAGACACACTCAGGATCAATACTTTGCATCCTTCAATCCAATCAAGTTGACACTCTGTATTAACCATCACAGAAGGTAATAGTATTCTTTTAAGCAAATGTATAGAAGCTAACAGATATCATTCCCACACCATGTTTTATTAGCAAGAATTTTCTCACATGATTACATTTAGCAACAAGTCTTTCTGAGAATAATAGTACTTAGTTGGGCAGCCACATTTTAACTAAAACTGTTTTAATGTGGAAGTAAAGGAGGATGCATTTTGGTGTAGTCTTTGCCTCAGAAGGTAAGATAACTATAGGGAATCCTAGGCCCTAACTGAACATTATGGAACAAGAAATAGTAATAAATCTATTATTCAAAATTATAAAGCTAATCAACATAGCTATCAAAAATTAGAAGGAGAGGGAAGGAATTAATGTCAGCAAGACAAATAGTCATGCTTCATAAAAGGAACTGAAAAGTAATTGTTTAAAGATTATTATAGAGGTGATTCTATAGTAGCTTAATCACCAAATGATTTTAAAACAAAAAATAGTTTATAAAATAATTGCATCTAGGTATAAGTGGGAGGATAGGTAAAACTTAATCTTTACCAATGCTTTGAATATAATTAAGACACATTTTGAAAATATATAAACAGAAGTAGATCTCAATTTCCTGGTTTAAAATGATTTGAATAATATATTATTATCAGATAAAAGTGAAGTGTATAATATATTTTAGTACTATCCCATTAGTGTAAATAAAAAAGATGTACACACATACACACACAAATGTGCTTGTTTATCTTTACAATTATTTTTAGAAAGATACTTGAAAGATTGTAATCAGGGAGCTATTGTTATCATCAAGGATTGAAATTGCTGGTCAAGAGTTTGGATTAGAAAAAGGAAAATTTCAATTCTTCAGATTGTTTATTACCACTTTAATGCATTACTTTCATTTAAATAAATTTTAAAAATCCATCTACAGTGAAATTATATAAGTTCATTTGATAAAAATGTCAAAGCTCTTAACAACATGTTGTGCAACCTGAGCATTGAGCTCTTTTAAAATTCCTGTGTTCACTGCAGCCATCTGTCTCCCATCAGTTGCTGAAATTATTGAGTTATAACAAGACAGAGTTTCATTAATATGGACAAAGAAGAGCACTCTTCTTTCTCACATTCCCCATCAGTGCTATCTGACTGACTTCCATCCACTCAGAACAAGACAGTTCTGAGTTAGCATGCATTCATTCATCCATTTGTCAATTCATTCATCTCCTTAAAATTTCAAGTCAGAAGCAGCAACAAAATCATTAGAAGCAGCTGATGAAAACATCATGATGGGTGATGGATGGTGGAAAGGGAATTTCTGAAGACAGCTATGTTTGGGAACAGGTATTTGCATTATTTAATGAGACTCTAACAGCTATGGCCAGAGTTGGAAGGGATAGTCTTAGTTTTTGTTTCCAAAATTTTTAGATTATTTTAAATTTTAGATTGTTTTTATTGTAATATCTTTAGAAATAATAGACCTTTAGAAGAAAATATTGAGAGGAAGGATGTTTATTAATAATAATGATTTTCCTAGAGTACTTTAATGGATGGGATTACTAAAGTGTGGTAGATGTCCCAGTACATTTCCATACCTGCTCCCTTTGTACAGCCAAAGAGTGGTCAATAACAATCACTGTTAGTAAAACATGTATTCATGAGTTTTTTTGTTTTTGTTTTTGTTTTTTTTTTTTTTACCATAAGGCAAAGTTTCCATTTCCACATAATGAAACTTTTTATGATGTAATTCTTTTTACTTCTCAGCTGGTTCAATGTATTTTTTTCTCCAAAGGCAATCAAATTTGCCCGATAGTTTATGCAGTGAGGTCCTATGGCCATTTAGAATATCACATTGACTCTAGCTTTGTCTGATGCTTCTGATCACATGGATACATTTCAAGTTGTTTTTTGAGGTATTTACATAAATTATTTAAAAGCTTTGGTGCTGTTTTAATTTCCTCTCTTCCCCGAGGATGCTGGGGTAGGCTTGCTCTGAGTGGGGTTTTGGATTCTGCTGCACCAAGCCCAGAGCTGAGAATCTCATTCCCAGATATCAAGGTCATGGTGGCCAAAGAAGCAAACAAAGCCACAAAAATAGCAAAAATGTCCAAAATCAAAATGGTAGAAGGTGACTCAGAGGGTCATTCAATGTGAGGCTATCAGAGGCAGACTTCAGAGTAGAGGTCTGGAGGAATAGGAGTATGGAGTTTGGAAGTGGGTACAAAAAATAAATAAATAAATTGAAACAAAAAGCTAAAGAAGGTCTTAGGAATTGCCCAAAATGATGTTACACTGGTATACTTGACAATGACCAACCAGGCAGGATGGCTGTGTGTAGCTGTTCAGCTTGTTCAGTGTATAAAACAGACTGGAGATGCCAGTGGGGGCATCTCCACTGGTCTAGTCTGCCCAAGGGAAGTTTGTTTGTTTGTTTTTTTGTTTGTTTTTAATTCACCCAAAGGGTTCATACAGGATAGTGCAGCCTTGAGCTCTGTTTAAGTAGCCAAGCTTCCACTGAGCTGCATTATACCTTTTAATCATATTCCTTTCTCTAAACTATAACAGCCTGTCCTCAGTCAAGCAATAAGCTCATAACAAAATCATTGCAAAATAAACAAAAACAATAATAATAAAAGAATTAAAGCCAAAGTTAGAAGACAAATTTGCAGAACAAATTAAGAGTTTTCATATAACTTAGAATTCCTGGTAGCTACTTTCCCATACAATAAAATATATATATAATCAGATGGGTAATGTTCAGGGTAAGACTCCCTTTCACTCTCTCAATAAAACACTACACTTCTTATTATTCATTGTTTTTAATTATGGGATTTCATTATTTGCTTTCTTTTACAAAAATGCATTGAGTTCTTACGTCACATGTTCCAGGAACTATTCCATGAAATAGAGTGGTCTTTGCTTTTATGGAGCTTACAATTCAGTGAGAGAAAAACAGTGATCCTACCAAGATAAGCTTTCCAGTCTAAAGAAATAAAAAGAGTGACTTGGGGGCATGAAACAATTGGAATTGGATGGGGGAAGTAACTGATGCAGACCTCTCAGCTTCCTGGCAGCAACAGATGATATTCTATGAAAATACATCAACACATTTCACTCCACGAGATTAGTGCATTGCTTTTGAATTATAAACACCTTAATAAAATAACAAATGCCCTGTAGCAATTAATCAAGTGTTCTGGTGCTCTGAATGTTCAACTGACAGTCATAAATCTAGTTACAGACACTGGGGTGGGATCACTTTCTTACAGACATCTAAAAGGGTTACATATAAAGGTGGAGAGATAATACTTCTTAGCTCAAAGGATGGATGAGACCCAATTCTGCTTCATCCCAGCTTTCCAGTGCCTTGTAATAAAGTAACCCACTCTTTTCCCAACATTGCTAGAATTCAAAGGACTTAAATTTCAATGCCACTATACTACTTGTTACTGAACTTTCCTGCAAGTTTCATGACTTGGAAAAATAATACTTGTCAATGTTGAAGGATTAAATGAGAAAATAGAAAAAAATGCATAGCATTAAATCAATTGTGTGGTCTTTAAACAATTAGTAATCTTGTCGAGGAGTATATATTTTGATATAACTCAGGAGAAAAACTGGCCACAGCCTTGATTAACATAGCAAAAACTTGAGTTTCAATATCTATTGTCTGAGACTTGCAGCCAGCCACAGGGCCAGAGCTCTCCCTTTTCCCACTTCCCTTTGGGGCCAGCAGAAATTAATTAATTCCATTAATATGCAACTGAAGTCTGAGATGCCACAATGTAAGACAAAAGAAGGAGTGGGAACCTTGGCTTCTATTGCTACTGTAACAAATTACCAAAAACTTGGAAATTCAGATGCCAATTTATTATCACAAATTCTCTGTGGGGCAGAAGTTCAGGCACAGTGTGACTCAGCTGTTTCTCTACTTAGAGTTCGACATGGAGGAAATCAAGATTGCATTCCTTTCTGTGGAGGCTCTGGAGAAGAGTCAGCTTTCTCATTCAGGTTAGTGGGCAGAATACAGTTCCTTATGGTTATAGAGATGAGGTATCTGTTTCTTTGCGGACTTTCAGTCACGAGCTTCTCTTGGTTACCAAAGACCACTTGCATTCTGCCCTTTGCCCCTCTCATCTTTGCACCAGCAACGGGGCATCAATTTCTTCACTCTGAATCTCTCTGCCTTTCCCTTCTTGATTCAATGGAGGTTGTTCTCTACTTTTAAAGCTCGTGTGATTAGATCAAATCCAGACAGAAAATTCAGGATAATTTTTTTTTTAATTTTAAGGTCTCTAACTTTGATTCATCTGCCAACTAACATCATATATTCACAGTTTCTGAGAGATTCGCGTGCAGACATCTTTTGAGGCCATTATTCTGTTTATCTAAGCTTGGTTTCACTCTGGTTTCACCTGTGGGAAAAGGGGAGGAGGAGACACATGATAGAAATGGGCTGACAAACAGGATGGTTGACTGAAAATAAAGAACCTGCATCTGTTTGAAGATTTTATTTGGCTAGCAGGGTATTTGCTGTTTGTATTGTTTCTAAAGTGAATTTGAATGCCTTTTGGGATGGCATGTATATGGGTACTGGTTCCACATTTCCCACCATTCCTTATTATCTTACTCTGCCCTGCTTCACACAATTATCCTACATGCCTGGTCTCTGGAAGCCTCTATGTTTGCAAAGAGTGCTTTCAAGTGAGTTCCATGGAAGAAAAGGAGGATAGAAGAATTAGGGCATATGGGGGTCAGCGTTCATTTGGTCAGGGGAAGACAGAAGAGTCATGATTTTTGCCATTTCACCCCATGGGGATCTGAAGAGCACTAAAAGACCAATCTTTGTAGAGTACAATATTGTACAACCAGAAAATGGCTCCCAATCCAGAGTTATTCGATCATCAATTTTCCTGATACTTTTCATCTAGAAAGAAAATAGGAACATATCCGAGAAGACAGAAAGAAAATGTCTCCCAAGCTTAGCTACATTAGTATATAGTAGGGGCTTAGTAAATGTTTATTACTCCTACTGACTTGTCTGTCTCTCTTCACGAGCTCATTTTTAACTGTTCACTAAAATGCCTACAAATACGGTCTCTGTGCTTGCCATCTATCACATGAATAAATTCACAACATGAATACATTCATAAGAAGCGATACAGTGACATGAAAGTTAAAGTGAGCACAGGTTCTGGAGCCAAACTACTGAGATTCAAGACTTGGCCCTACCATTTGTCAACTGTTTACAACTTGGGAAAGTTATTTAACCCTTCTGGGACTCACTTTTCTCACTGTAAATTAGGAAGAGAAATAGAACCTACTACAAAGGATTTCTGTGAGGATCAAGAAGGTTACCACATATAAGGAGACCATCTGCTATTGAGTGCTTAATTAATAAATATTGACTATAATTGTTACTAAAACCTCTTTATTTTATCCGTGATATTTTTAAGAAAGAATGAGTATTGCATTGCTTACAGATTGAAATGTTGTTTTAATATTTTGTGTTTAAGGATTAAAAAATGTACTGACTTCTCACAAGGTGCTCATTGGCCTTGTAAGACTTCAAAGTCAACTGACTTTACAGGAAATAACCATAAAATTCTCTAGCGGGGAGTGCAGGGCAGGGGCAGGAGAATAAATGTGTGTCTGCGTGTGTGTGTGTGTGTGTGTGTGTGTGTGTGTGTGTGTATGTATGTATGTGTGTGTATGTGTGTGTGTGTGTGTGTGTGTAGAGGTGGGAATATAACTGACGGAGAAATAAAATTATACCTTAGCCAGAGGTGGATTTTCCATAACACTAATGAAGCTTAAACTTTAAAAACTTTTATGGTACAGACCTTTCCAAAACTTAAGAGGGGACCTAAAAATGTGTGAACTTAGATTTGTGTTGTTAATTTTGTAATAAGTTTCTTAAACTATGTCTACCAAAGGAAAAAAGTACATCAGATTTCTCCCCAAAAATGTAGCCAGGTCACCCCAAACCTGGTCTTACCCCCAAAAAAGTATTCTTCTGTAACTAATTCTATGGGATACCTGAGATCTACATGTGCTTTATAAGTATCCTTATACTTATATGCTGTTATGTATATAAGTATATAAGTATACATAACATACTGTTATGTATATAAGTATATGTTATATACTGTTTATGTCTGCCAGGTGCTGTGCCATTAAGTCTATAATAGGTTTGGCTTATTGACAGAAAATACCTAGTCTCTCTAGCCAGAAACCTATTTATGATAGGAAACTCTTTCCTACCCCATAGCCATTACATTAACAGTGGCTTACATCCTAGAGTTTCTGCCTCCTAATAGTTCTCAAGGACATTACCTTTGTTCCACCTCCACTGCCATGCTTCTGTTCAGAAAGTTATCAAATCTGTCATGGATGAATGCAATAAGCTATCAACTGATGTCAGAGCCTCCACCCTTATCCTAATTTTCAATTACCACTAGTATTATCGTCATAAAACTCAAATATGATCATGATAACCCATTTCATAAAATCCTTCAATTACTTCCCATTTCCAATAACATAAATGCCTTAGTAGGAAATTTAAGGTACTTCATAATCTGGCCAGTGTCTTTCAGTATAGTCCCATCTTCTGCCATTTGCTTTGTTCCTATTTCCCTGCAATATTGAATTACTCATTTTCCAAATATGCTGTTCTTCTTCACAATTCCACGTGTGTCCCTTCCATCTACCCCAGGTAACAATGCCTTTAACCCAAATACCCTACTGCCTGGTTGATCATACTCTGCCTGGTAAATTCCAAGTCAACTTTCAAGAGTCAGTTTTTTAAAAAAATTAACTCTATTGAGAATTCCTTGACATACCGTCAGAATTAGGCATGCTTTCTTTTATGGGCCCATTGCTCTTTGTTTACAACTCCTTCATAATTATTGCTACATTTTCTGCAAAGGCAAGAACCACTTATTTTCTCTATTGTAACCTCAAACCCTAGCCTAGCACTTTCTTGAAGATGGTATGTTTTCATAAATTTTGGGGAAACGAATGATTGAAGGAATGGAATAAATTAGGAGAGATTAACAATGGTTGCCTATAAGTTACTTTGTATGAATAAATCTTGCTCTTCCAAGAAATATTTCAGTAAGTATGTCATTGACATGCCATGTCTTTTCTTTCCATATTAATCTCTTGAGTACTTATCACAGTACAGAGAACATTGTAAATACTTTTTAATTGATTAAACAGAGAAAAATAGGAGCAAATAAAAGCCAACTTCTACTCCAGGTATGGAAGATTGCCTTCCTTCCTTAAGATCTCTAAAAGAGTACTGAGCATCCAGTTTAAGAAAGATCTCTGTGATAAGAAGCCCACCGCAGTTTTCATAGTTTCTATCTTATAAGAAAAGTCAGTGGGAGCCATTAGATCCCTTCATAGATTAATCTAATTTGGGCTTTTATTTTTTCATGGCTTGGAAATATATACTGTTTATAGCTATATTGATTTCAAGGTATGTAGGTCTGGGTTCTGCACACAATGCAAGTTGATGTAATTTATGTATTCTAATTGCAAAAAATTACAAACAAAATTAAAACAGTAGGACTATTTCTAATCTCGGTATAAACAAACAGTCCAAAGAATGTGATGGAAACTTTAAGGAACTAAAGAGTTCTTTAACGCTTTTCTTAAAAATCCCATAATTAACGTTAAAATTGAAAAATCAAAATCCTTTTTCTTAAACAACTATACATTATCATTGAAAATGCACTCAAAAAGACCAGCCTGAGCAAGACATAATCAAGTTTTAGATGTGCATGCTAAATATAACCATTGAGTCATAGGAAATATTTAAGTATTTTTCTATATAAAAATATTCCAAAAGAAATATATTTTGTCATTTATTTCTCTAAAAATCTGGTACTTAATCCAATCTAAGATTACAAGCATAAAATTAGCATATTATTATTGTAAATTAGAATGGCAGGGATATGGGCAGCAGCACATTACGAGATGCTATTAGAGAAAAATGGGTTTCTTCCTCCAGGAAATATGGAGAATTCTCGTTCTCCTACTATTAAAGGGAAAATAATCATTATCAGTTATGTTTTTTAAAAACTACTTTGTGTGTTATTTGCCAAGCTTCCTTCCTCCAAATGAAGACTGGGAAAATCATTGCCACTGAAATCACCTTGAACTGATGATATGAGATTACATGTCCCCAAGTCAGTGGTAGTGATAATAATCACAGCTACCATTTATTGACTGTGAATTATGTTTCAAGAGTTTCATGTAAATCGTTTTAAAATCTATGCAATAGCTCTAAATGTTAAATATTATCTTCTCCCCTTTTTCAGTTGATTAAATGGAGGCTAGGAAAACTCAAATCGTCCAAAGATACAGACTCGGCTAGGAAAGCACAGATTCAGGAATCTATCTCAGGTTACAGGCTAGCTTTCATCTACTGGGTCACATTTACTCTGGGAAGAAAACTTGAACCCTTTAGGCTTCTATCAACCTTATCATCAGAAAGGTTTTCTTCCTCATAACTTTCCATTTCCTATGTAAGTCTATTTCATCCAATTCTGCCCCTGAGGAAGAGAACAGCTGGTCAGTGCCCTCCTCCTAAAAATGTTAACTGATTCACTGGTTGAGTAATTTTTCTTATGAGAAATTTTAAGCCCCTAGAGAACCAAGTATTTACTCACAGAATGAAACAAATCTACACTGAACTAATGGAAGAGGAATATTTCCTTAGCATCAAGATTTACTTATGTTTTCAGTGTGAGTAGGATGAGAATAAGTAGACAATGTAAAAGAGCCAGAAAGAGAGGTATTTTCTTAATTTTTTTTTCTTAACTATGATCTAGAACTTGCTGACTACAGGCAGAAAAGTTGATGGAAACTCAGAAAGCACCAAGAAAATACCCACGCAAACAATTGCAGTGATTACATCCTAAACCAAATTGTCAAAAATTGCTCAACATGTTATAAAAGTTTTTCACTACAATAATATCTTTTTTTAGGTAGGGCCTCTTTCCTCAAATTTATCATTCAATAATCACTTTGCAACTATTCTTATTTCATGAATATTTTTGAGGGATCTTTCTGTGAGCTCTCTCATCAGGCTCATTTAATGCAACACTATGGTTTTACTCATTAATCTCTGCCTTTCCTTTGAAAGATAATCTGCATTTAATGGATACCTTATGTAATATGGAACAAGGCAAGACTCTCCTATACATTCCAAGAAGGGCAGTATCATAATGTGTCAACAGACCTCTTTGCATCAAAATCCTATTGATTCAATTATGAGTCTGGGGAATTTTAGAGCTTTACTATCTTTATTTTTCTTTATATGGATTCTAGAAATTAGAGTTCCACGTCATTCTGCTATTTCTCAATGGATTACCAACATCGCAACAAAGATAAAAACCATCATATGTCAAAATAAAATATAAATTTTAAAACTATATTTAAATTACTAAGTTCTTGGAGCAGAGGAGTTCCCTGTTCTCTCTGTATTCAAACATGACTACAGTTTCTAATGTTTATCAGGCTTGATAATGAATTCAAAGGGTAAGGTATTTTTTCTTGAGTATAAATATAATGCTGAGCCCTATCTAACCGAGTGGCTGGACTGCACAATACATAACAAGTTGTTTCTAAAATAGAAATAATTGAAAATTATTTTACTCTTTTGTAAGGAGGCAAATAACTCATCTCTTAGTGGATGAGTGAATGAATGAAAAAATTTTAAAGTAAATGGGTTGTTTGGTTATTATCTCAGTCTATAATTTCCTCCCCTGCACTTTCTTTGAAATTTTCAAAGTATGATAAGCCCACAAGTCCACAAAGGAAAATCCTTTCAGAATAAATACAGTGCTCTTCCCTCATTTCAGATTTTTAGTCCACTGTATTGACCTACTATGTATCTATTTGACCAAAGCATTGAACTCCTACTATGTGCCGGATACCATGTAAGTCACTAAGATACAAAGATAAATAAGAATAATGTTGCCCCCTTGACTTGACATTCTAGCAAGGAGACAAATGGATAAACAGATGGTTTCTATGCAGTGTGGAAAGTTTAAGATTGAGATCTGATTCAATGAAAGTACAGAAGAAAGTTAACTAAACACTTGGCAGAGCACGCATCACATCTTATTAAAAACACTTGCCATTTGTCACTTAAACTTCCTCCATGCATGCTTTACATGTACACATTTAACCCACAAAATTGCCAAATTTCTTCAAAATTCTGCCAGCCAGTTGTGAAATGTACAATAATAGCTGACTCTTATTGAGTGCTTACTATGTGCTAGTCCAGGTGTTGTTCTAAGTTCTTATGTCTATCAGCTCAATCTTCTTACTTCTCTATCTGTGTTAGGTACAATTATTAACATTTCACAGATGAGTAAACCAAGGCAAGAAAAGCCAAGTTACTTTATCAAGATCACAGAGCTAGAAAGTAGAAGAACTGAAATTCGCATTAAGACAATCTGACTCCAGATATCAAGTTCTCAAACACTCCACTTCACTGCTTTCTGATGATTGAAAGTATAATAAAGTAAGAAGAATTTGGTTTGAATCACTGCTGCAGCCCCTATTAACTCGATTTTAGGAAAGATCCCAATTTCTCAACTTTTAACCTTTCTGGTATAAAATACAAAAATTAAGTTTTTCTCATTCGGCAGTTTTAAATGTGATTTTAAAATTCTTTGGCGCACTGTCGATCAAGATGTGGGGTTTATGTTCCTCCCTTTGCATCTAGGTTCTGTAAATGACCAACATAATTCAATAGCGGTGACACTGTGACAGTTCCCAGACATCATCCTTAAGAAATTGCTACATCTACTGCTTATCACCTTGGATGCTGTCTCTTGGAATCTAGTGTCCAAGTATGAGGAAGGCCAGGCCACATGGAAAATCTATGTGTAGGCATTCAGGCCAACAGCTCAAGTAGGACTCCAGCTGGTATCAATCCTAGACATGTAAATGAAGAAATCTTCAAGATGACTCTGGACCCAGCCACTGTCTGACTCACTACATGAGAAACCTTGAGCAAGAACCACCTGTGCCCAGTCAACCCCCAGAATAATGAAAAATAATTTTTTTAAAAATAGATGGTATATTAATCAGGGTTATCTAGAGGGACTGAACTCATAGGATGTATACATAAAGGGGAGTTTATTAAGGAGTATTGACTCACACAATCACAGGTTGAAGTCCCACAATAAGCTGTCTGCAAGATGAGGAGCACGAAGCCAGTCCAAGTCCCCAAACCTCAAAAATAGGGAAGCCAATAGTGCAGCCTTTAGTCTGTGGTCAAAGGCAAGACTCCTAAAGGTGAAGAACTTGGAGTCCGATGTTCATGGGCAGTAAGCATCCAGCATGGGAGAAAGACGTAGGCCAGAAGACTAAGCCAGTCTAGTCTTTTTAACTTTCTTCTGCCTGCTTTTATCCTAGCCATGCTAGCAGCTGATTAGATTGTGCCCACCCAGATTGAAGGTGAGTCTGCCTTTCCCAGTCCACTGACTCAAATGTTAATCTCCTTTGGCAACACCCTCACAGACACAGCCAGGAACAATATTTTGCATCCTTCAGTCTAATTAAGTTGACACTGAATTTATTAACCATCACGGTTAGTTTGAAGACTGTAAATTTTAGGGTGATTTGGTATATAGCAATAGATAACAGAAACTGTTACTTATCTTGTCAATATTGTTACTAGTATGAAAGTCCTTGGCAAATTATGAAGTATTACACAAATGTAAATAAGTATTATTTAACCTATATCAAGTATATATAAACAGATGATTCCCTATAAAATAATACACCATCACAGAAATCTGTCTAATACCAAGGGCCAGTGAGTACATTAATTTAAATCCAGTGGGTATTCGTTGAGTGTCTACTCTTTGTTAGCAGTAAATTAGGTTCCATGAAGACACAAAAACAACAAAGGCAGGAGTATTCCATACATTCTAAGAATATATAAAAACCATCTTAAAACTGAGTTGTAAATGAAATGTTTTATTTAGCATCCTAATTTCTCAGAAACATTGTTGTATTCCCTAAAGCATTGTTTACTTCTTGATAGAAAGTCGGTTGGTGCTGGCATCAGGAAAATTGGGGTTTCAATCTTTCCTCTAATACTTCCTTGAGTACATACAAAACATATTTAGGTGAAGGGTTCCTATTTGTAAAATGAAGGTAAAAATATCTATATTGCAGGAGTCTTGGGAGGATTAAATGACATGTATATATTAAGAGCATAGCACAAAGAATGAGATCAGTAATAGCTCCTATTATAATTGATCTTTCTAGGTTTGATCTCCATTGCAAATTTGCAATAAAAACATCATGGACATCTATCATTATTGTTCAGAAATATGGCTGTTAGGTATTCCTGAGTTCAATTCTTAAGAGCAAAAGGCTGCATTTGTTCTTGAATTACTTCTAATGCTTCTCTAGGCACCACAGACATGTCAGCAAATCATGTCAATTTTACCTTTTTAAAGTACCCTGGATCCAGGGCCTCTCAAGACTTCCAGCAGCACCAATCAGGCAAAATCATCATCATCTCTCACATGAATTATTATAATAGCCCCTTGTTTAGATTTCTAGGGCTTTCATTAAAAAGTGCCACAAACTGGGTTGCCTAAAACAACAGAAATTTATTTTATCATATTCTGGAGACTTACAGACCAAAATCAAGGTGTCAACAGGGCCATACTCTGTTTGAAGGCTCTGGGAGAGGATCTAGATCCTGACTGCTTCCCAGTTCTGGTGGTTGCTGGCAATCCTTTACTATTTCTTGGATTGTGTCAACATAATCTCTATCTCTGTCTTCATAAGACCTTCTTGTTCATATGGGTCCAAATTTCTCTCTTTTTATAAGGACAACAATCATTGGATAAGGGACCACCCTAATCCAGAATGACCTAATTTCAATTTGATTACATCTGCAAAGATCCTCTTTCCAAATTAGGTCATTTTCACAAGTATCAGGGGATTAAGACTTCAACATATCATTTTGGGAGATACAATTAAATTCATTAAACTTCCCAGTTGATATCCCTGCTTTCCCTTTGATTCCTTTAGACTATTCATTCCATTGCAGTCAGAATGCTTCCTATGTCAAATCATGTTTTGCTTCTGCCCAAACTCTTTGGTAATGCTCCATTTCCCTGGAAGTAAAAAAATCAGTGTCATGAAAGAGGACAAAAAGTTCATCAGGAGCTCCTTTTGCCTGTCTCCTCCTATACTCACCCCAGGGTCATTTCTCACTGCTCCTCTTCCTGGAACTCATTGCATTTCACTACATCAGGTCCACTTGCAGTCCCAGTTCCCCTGCTCTGGGGCTTTTGTACTCAGGGTTCCCTATACATGGAATTCTCTCCCCTTAACTCTCATAGCCTCACAGTTTGCTTCCTTTTCCTTTGGGTTTCTACTTAAATATCACCTTTGCGGAGATACCTTATTGATTACTCCATAGAAATTAATACTCTCTTTTATCCTATATTACTTGGCATTAGTATCCTGCTTTGTATTTCTTTATAGAGTAGTACATGTCTCTAAAGGCCATGTTACATATTTATCTGTTTAATATTTGACTTTAACTTCTTACACACACACACATACACACACACACACGAATATAAACTCCAAGAAGGCAGGGATTTTGTTTTTACCACTATATCTCTTTTGCTTATGTAAAATATCCAATAGTAATGCAAATGATTCTTGTTCATAGACATGCAAGTTGTGTTTGGTAGAGATTTGGCTGATTTATTGCCTGGTGGATACTGACCAGTTTTGCCAGTTTGTCATCAATTAAGTGCATTTATATCAGCATTCCTGGTGGCCTTATATCCATGTAGTTCTTTGAGTTTTTTGAACAGCTTATAACATCTTACTATTTCCCATTAATTATCTCATTAGTTAATTTCTCATTAACTATCTCTTAACACCATTCATATTGATAAGGTTTCTAGAAAGGGGTGAATGTGAATTGAGTTTCAAAGAGTGTAGGTATGTACTAGAAGAAGGGAGGGCAGGTGACACATGGAGACTTACAAGGCAAAGAAGGCAATAGGATTTATGCATAGTAAACCCTGTTAACTCATAATTTTAAAAAGGTAAAATAATGACTCATAAAAATATAAAATAAACTCAGTTCAATGCTTTAACTTGTTAAGTAATGAGGGAACTAGTAAGATGTGAACAACAGTAGAGAGTCTTAATCTTTATAAGACCAATTCTTCAAACTGCCAAGGGCAGGAATCATTTGCATCACTATGAACAGGAGATATCTGCACTGTCATCAACTTTTCAGAAGTTTATCTGTATCCCTAGAAAGGTGAAAACTACACCAGTCACAAGTAACTCAAAGGTGCACACCATGAAATACCATAAGATAAAATAGCTCTTGAAGAGTACCCTAAAAAACATTCAATATTCCATTGAAAGGACATCAGTAAACTTTTTCAAAAATCTTTCACAATGTCCCTAAAAACATCAAGCATATTATGTAATGTATACAGGCCCACATGTTTCTGAGAGTGATGACTATTTGTTTGGTTGGATGAAGGGGTAGCCCAGTTGGTGAAAGATGTTATTGCAAGGCAAGTTAGGATTTTATATAATAAGTTATGGAATGTCACTCTAAATTCTCAAGCAGAGGAGTGATTTGATGAAAACAACATTTAAAAAGAATCATTTTAGCAGAGATGTGTAGGATGGAATCTTAGAGTTGGAAGATAGGCAGGGAGAAGACAGGAAGCAACAAGATACACTCAGAAATGTTTTATAGGAATTCAAACCTGATTTAGGCCTGAGAGTTGCAAATGATCCAGAAGAGGTTGGACAGAGAGTATTGGGTTTGGGGATAGTTGATGTAACTGAACTGACTGAGAGACAGAGTCAAGGTTCCTTGAAATTTTTCAGAGTATACCTCATTGTGAGGAGATTTTATAGTTCTAAAATGTGTACTTTCTAACATTTGACAGTCTATTTCTCTGCATTTATATTATTTTTCGATGGCATGCTAATGTTACTTTTTCTTTGAATTTAAAATATCACATTCACCTTTCATTTAAGCCTTAGGCTTTTGTAAAATTTTCTCGCCTAAAATGTTTGCTCCCTAAAATGTTTTTCACCTCTATCATTTGAGAAAGGCATACATCCATAAAATATTCAAGTGTATTTATTTCACCTCTGTAAAAGTATTTGTGATATTCTTTCTATGATGGATATTATTTAGATGTCAACTCTAGTGTAATGAATTCATATAATTTCACTAATATTTAATGCTTAAATGCAATATTGCATGCTAATTAAAGCTCTTGCAATATCTGTAGCAAGCTTAGATAAATCCATTTTTTCTTTGTAAGCTTTCTTTTAAAATAAGTAGTTTAATTACATTTTCTGTTTGTCTGTGTTTGTTTCACTGGATTTTACTTGGTTTATTAAAAAATAAGAAGCATCATGTCTTTTCAATATTAGAAAATAAAGTAAATCATTCAGGTCATTTAAATCCATAGCAAAGCTTGTTTGAAGTGCTTAGGTTATAGCCTGATTTTAGGAAAACCAAATATCAAGGAATAGTCTCATGGTAATTGCAGCTAACTATTTGAAGTTCAAGCCATGTTTCCAATCTGTGATTTGAGTATGCTTTTTTTCACTCACATGGATTTTGTAGAAATTAAACAGTGGTATTTTATGAAAACGCCCTTTTGTAGGTTGACATATTGTAAGCAAACACACATTCTAAAAATGCACATCCAAAGTTAACCTTTTGAAAATTCAAACTGTTCTGAGGACATCATAAATGATTCACCAGTGAGAGACATATAGGCAATTTTTATGACCTGAACCATGAATCGTTCTTTAGTTCTTGATTCAAATGACTACTTTTCACTATATTGAGCCATGAGTTTCAGAAATAAACCTTTTGCTGATAAGCAGATTTACAGAGAACAAAAAAGCCTGAGTCAACTATTTATCTGGGACCAAATTCTGTGAACTAAGCTTAGTTCAAGAAAGAGGTTTTCTAAGCAGTTCATTTATTTTAATATGGTACAAGTGATTTGGAGTTACATTGTAGCTTATGTTCACAGAGCTTTGACAGAAGAGGAGGGGAAAGGCCTGGAGGTAACATTTCATGCATTCTTAGAGATAAGAATTAAGCACCTGCTAGAAGCAAAGCCCCACGCCAGATGCTCTGGAGATACACAGGCCTAGCCTGAAAGGAGCTTCCATCTATTCTAGAGGGAATAAAACAAGTTCACAGATCATTATGTTATGATAAAATTATAAGATAGAATTCTATTATAAATATTAAAGGGTAAAAAACAAACTTTTTTTTTTTTAAGAAATTCCAAAGACAGAGAAAGTACATTGGTTTTCCAGGGGAAGGAAAATGACTTCATGGCATTTGAGTAGAACAGTGTTTCTTTAACTTCTGCATGCGTAAAAGATACCGGGAGAGCTTGTTAGAATTTAGATATCTGGACCATCCATAGAGATTCTGATTTCTGACATCTGCATTTCTAACCTGCACCTTAGGTGATTGAGATAGAAATGGCCCAAGTACCTTGCTTTAAAAACACATGCTTAGAGCCTTAAAAGATAAATAGCATTGAGAAGGCAGTCATAAAAGGATAAAGTATTCAGATGAAAGGAATGATAGAATTTTAAAAGGAGATAAAATGTTGAGGATCTCACCTTGGTAGGTGGGCGGCAGGGTGGGGAGGGTGTTGGAATCCCTAATCAGGATTAACCTATTAAAATAATGGTTTTCTGATGAGCAGTTCTAGAGAAAGGGAGTCTTACAACAGAACAGATTTAATAGTACTACTCAAAAATTATCTCTAAGTTGATCCAAAATTTATGAAAGAGTAAATAAAGTATCAATAAGAAGTTCTCACATTGCAGGGAAAGCTCTTCTAAACAGCTACAGGACACCAGAAGGGAAAACGTTCCAGGGAAATCACCAGGGAGCCCAGCACAGTGACAAGCTCACTTCTTTTCTTTTTCTTTTTCTTGAGATGGAGTCTTGCTATGTTGCCCATGCTGGTCTAGAGCTCCTGGGCTCAAGTGATCCTCCTGCCTCAGCCTTCCCAGTAGCTTGGATTACAGGCATGTGCCCATTTATGATCAGCTGATTTTTGAAACAACATACAGTTACAGGTTTTCTGTTGGTCTGCTTTGAGTAATTGTTGTCGTTTGCTGGTATCAGGCTGGCTCACTGTATCCCTGCAGCTGGTGAACAGTACTCAATAGCATGTGCCAATGATGGTCTTCGTGGAGTTGGGGGAGGGAAGTCAATTACCTTTCTCCTATATCCAGTTGCAAATGGTTAGGGGTTACCTGTCTCCTGTATTTCTGAGCATAAGCTTGGAATCCCTCACTTACATTTTATTTTCACTCACATCCCTACTTTACATATTATCTGCCCTCACACAACATTCTACTAAAGAAAAGGAAACTAGCACTCCTTATCTGTCTTAGCATGTGGCTAAAGCAGCAGAGGCTGGGGCTAGGACTCAAAACAAACAAAAAAAATGTATGATCGGTAAAGAGCCCATATCCAGCCTCCAGCAAATGAGAATTATCTAAATGCTCATCACCACAAAAAGCTTGCAAAAGAGTCAAGAAAATTTAGCCAATGTATGATGTACAACAGGAAATGAAAACCAAGGAACAAATAGTACATCAAAGGCAAATTGTAAAAGATCTTGAATGTTAGGGCAAAGAACTTTTTTCAACAGACCAAAGGGAATCATTCAACATGATATCCAAATTTGGCTGTAGGAAGTTTGAACTGGCTACAGTATGGAAAGCATGCAGAAATTGGTTAAAAGCAAAACAAACAGGAATTTTAAACAGATACATGAAGTTAGAATTATTCTTAGTCAGTCCCTGCAAAAATCCTTTGTTGACCTATGGAAGACATGTACTTACATGATTAATTCCAATTTGTTTCTTAAAGAGCTTTTGAAACTGTCTCCACAGAATTTTTATAAAATTGGTTAAGGGAATAAATAAATTTCAACTAGGCTTGCAGCACAATCAGCAGCAATCATTAAGCCAGCTTGCCCTTTGGTCCACTTCCTTGCAGAGGTCACTGCTTACTACACCAGGTTAATGTAATCCTTGTCACAAGTCCCTTTGTTTCTTTCTGTTCTAAAAATAAAGTATAAGAAATTGAGAGATGATAAGCTTTCCACTTGAGTTTCTCTTTTAAGTGCTGCAAACCAGTAAATTACCTCCATCACCTGATCTGAAGGGTCCAGCAAGGAGCTGACTCATGGAAGAATACACTTTCTACATCCAGATGATTTTATCCTCATTACCCCAATCAATCAATGACCCCAATTCTCCAGCTCTTCATTCTCTATGATCCCCTTAACACTCTAGGCCAGAACCCCTCACAGAGACAAATTTGAGGCTTGAGAATTGCAAAAATCAGGAAGTAAAAAAATTAAAGGATTATATATGTATTTGTTTATTTGCTTTCCTGCCATATAGTTCCATCACTCACATTTTAAGCAGGCATTTGTTCTCTATATTAGATTCTTCTTATGGCAATCACTATTCTAAAAAGTAAACCTCAGAATAGAAATACTTTGTTCTCATCAGATCAGAAAAAAAAATAAAGCTAGTCAGAGCCTTTCTCTATCTTTGGTGGATAAAAATGGTAAAGAGGAGAGATCCTCAAGGTCTTCTTATTTAACTTTTTCAATATCATACATGTCCCTTTTACCCACACCGCCCCACAGCTTCTTATCTTGCCTTTCATGGAAACCACAGGTAATGGTTAGTAATCTTTCTCCAACTCCATTTACTCCACAAAGCTTTCTTAAAGCATTCAGTCCATACACAACTTTCCCTTTTCTCTGTAGTGACCTCAAAATATATTTTGTATGTTTTCCTGTATGCTATTATATATATTATGATATATAAGCATATTAATAAATATAACATTAATATAATACATATATAATATAGAATATACATATATTAACATAATAATATATAGTTATATATAATACATAAACCTGGAAGAATTTATAGAACATATATCAAATAGGATACAAGAAAACATATATACATATATATATATAAAATATGTTTTTCTATACCATACCCTATATGGTATTCTGTTCTATTTGTAACTGCTGTTTGTGCAAATAAGAAAAAGTTATTTTAGACTAAAAACTATGCCTTATATTACTTTAATGTCAGCATTGCATCTTATATAGATTTGAGCACACAGTAGGTCAACAATAATGTACTACTTATTAGCTCCATAGTGGTTATAGCTTAGACCATTAGCAGTTAGTAAAGATTATATAATTCCACCTGATCTCTGTTTTATATTAAAATATCAAAGAATAAAAGCTTAATGAAATTTTCCCAGTCCAATCCAAAATCTTGCAAGACATTTGAAATCCATAAATGGCATCATTTTCTTGGATAGATTTACATTTTGTGGCAATAAAGGAGATACTGTGAATGTTTTCTAGATGATAATTTGGGAAGGCAGCACACGTGCAAAATCAAATATATGTGAAGTTGATAGATCATTAAATGGAAAATGTGCTTTTTTAAAATCATAGAATTTCTATTAACAGTGAACAAAAATCTCTTTGAATAAACCACATAGACACTATTTTTTTAAAAATTATCTTGGTTAGTTCAGTTTTTCAACTAAAGCTTCTCTCTCCCTTGTGCATTTTGCAACCTTTTGGCAGCTTTATTGTTGAAAAGCTCAGGTACATTCATAATTGCACCACAGTAACATGCATTTATCATTGGCAAAGGTTCCGTACTATAAATGAATTACTCTAATAGATATGTCATGAAATAGCAACTTATCCTCCTCTTCTTCTACTTACTCCACCAAGTGGGTCAAAGTTGATAACTAGTGTTGCTCTAAAGTGATATTTTAGAACAAATTAAAGAGATGGTGTGAGCTTTAAAGCTTTAGCTTTGCAGTGCTTTAAAATGATCAACACTTTTTATTCTGGTTGTGGCTCTACATTCTTAAAAGTCTTCTTGCTCTGCTGTTTTTGCTCATACTGGAAAGTTGTTGTTTTAATACTGGCACTTAGGTTGTTCTCAATCAACAAAACGTGATTGAGAATTTATTATATTTGATGTTTCTGTCAAAAATGGAAATAAATACCATCTCTACCCTTGAAGAATTTATAATCTAGCGAGGAGATAAAACATATCGATTTAAAATATGGATAGTATAGTCAGAAGGAATTATATACACGTAAAAAAAAAAAGATCTGTTCAGAGGAGAGACAGTTAAATTGATACAAAAAATTAGCTTTATCACACCACTGCACTCCAGCCTGGGTGACAGAGTGAGACTCAGTCTCAAAAAAAAAAAAAAACAAATTATCTTTGAGTATGAATAAATGAATGTCTAATTTAGATTATAAGATTTCCAGTTGGTTTTAGTCAGATGTATTTGGGAATTTTGAGAAAGAAAAATCCCTTCCCTCCTTCAAAAAGTTTTGGCAAGATATTAGAGTAAAACCATTTTTTGGCTATATGGTGTATTGTTAGCTGCCATTTCTGTTTTTCAGGTAGCTAAAAGAAAGTGATTAGAAATGTACAAGTGTAGGGTTCTGTTACCATGTTATTTTAGCTCCTTTATTAAACCCTAAAGAAGGCAGTGGATAGTCTGTGAGCACAGAGAAGTTGTCCCCAAACAACATATGGTACCATGTAAACATAGCCTAACCACTGGATCTACACAAATAACCAACTGAGGAACCAATGGCAGGTATCAGATCTACTGGCTCAATGACATCTGGGGGGAAAAAATCCCATGACAATCTCATGTCATTATTTAAATGAGGACAAAGGTGACATGCTACTTACATGTACAAAGAGAAATTGTTACAAGGAATAACATTATCGAGATCCCCAAATTCTCACACAACAACATTCAGCAAGAAAAAAATATTAATTTTTTGTCTTGTGTGTAAAAAACAGCCAACATTTAACTGAGAGTTGGCTTAACAATATTCAAACTTTGGATCTTTAATTGAGCCAAGAGCTATGTAGATCAAACTCGTCTTTATAAGTAAACTGCAAATTTAGATGTTACTAGAAGTATAGAAACTAGGGTATGCCAAATGATATTTTGCTTTATCTTTGCAGTGTGGCTAATTATACTAGGGCTGTATTACAAAACCAAATATCTCAAGTGAGGATGAGTATTATAGTAAGCAAGGAAAGCATCTATAGTCAAAGCAAATGAGATTTTTGTGCGTGAAATTCAGGCAAAGTATTTGCTTTCACTCATTTGATCCAAGTATTGAGAGTGACTAGAAACTTAACACATGGGGACCTCTATTTTAAAAAGAATTTGTGGCAGAACAAAGAGATGTTCATATATCACCTCTCGCTTTAGGTTTCCTGTTTTGTTACTAACCAGAAAGGTCAACATGAGTTCTTCAGTTTCATTTCTCCAAAGCTAGATTTTGCTTTTTCCTTCTGCTCTCAAGAGAACACCCAGTTTCTACGTACCCAGATAACTACCGAATCTTGTTTGACAGTTTTAGAAACTCATGTCACTTTCTATTGAACCAAAAATAATAATATTACACTTCAGTCTAAATTTCTCCTCCAACTCACCAGGTATATTTTCATATGTAAGAATATGAGGATTTTCAAACGAGCAAATTGAAGAAACTAATTCTAAAAGATTGAAAAATATATCAACGTGTAACATGGGACTTTAATTTCAATTTTATGTGAAAATATGCTTGGTCAAAAGTTGTGTCATTTGTTCTTAACGTTTTCTTATTCTCCCTCCTCTTCCATCTGAAACATACACACATACATACACACTTAAACACCTCATAAACACTAGCCAGCTTTTGCGCTTCATAGGCAATGTGAATAAGATTGAAGGATTGAAATTAATATTTACTTTAGAACTTGTGCTTAATCTGAAACATTACATTTATTTCACTCAATTATTTTTCTCAAATAAATTCACTGGAAAATATTTGGATTAACCAAGAACCAGAGTAACTATTGCCTATAAAATATATTCGTGACATGCTGAAACTGCCTGGAGTTATTTGCATACCTGTTGCATCTTTGCATATTCTCTGTCTGCTAAAGTCCACCACTGTCATCAATATGGTAAGCCTATTTTCCAATCCCTTATTTTGTGCTAAATTTTCATGCATGCCTCCAAGTGGTTGAAATAAAGCCTTTCCTATTAAGATTTAGCTTTAGGACTTTTACATAGATCTTTGCTCATTAAGCATTTCCCTCTTTTTCTTTTCCCAGCAGGCAGTTGTTGGAGTTCTTGGGTAGACCTAAATTTGTCACAGATGTCTCAGTAAAGTTATTCATCCTAAGAATTCTTATAACTTAATAAGAAGCTACTAAATTGGAAGGTCTTACTCTACAGAAAAATTTCCTTTCTGCATAAAAATAGGTACAATACTAAATCCTATAAAAACAATTACAAGGGGTGAAGGATGGAGAATGAAAAAAAAATAACAAAAGGAGGACAGGAGGATGAGAGTTTATTTTTTTTGTCAGATATGGCTCAAGAGTTATCCAATTAAATAATTCACCCTTTCCTCTACCAGCCTGCTAAAATGCTCAAGAGGTGACAATATTTCCAGTTCTCCTTTTATTGAAAAAAAAAAAAAAAAGGATTAGTTTGTATGCTGAAATCTCTAATTAGCTAGAGACTTTAGGAAAGAAAAACAAATTTTAACAACCCAAGGGAAGCCAGAACTAAAGGACTGACGAATGAGCACAAAGACTCAAAAGTACAACCAAGCAGTTTCAATGTATCCAGATGCCCTTTGGGTCTTGTTTGACAATCCCAGGAACACATGTCACTTTCTATTATGCACATAGATATAGAAGCAGCTTAAAAATTCTTTTTGCAATGTCAAGTAAAAATACAGTGTCTGTTGCTGAAAAGGCTCAATGCTCAGCTGGCAGGTCACATGAGAGAAAAAGAGAAAGGAGAATAAAGTAAAAACAACAACAACAACAAAAGACAACTGGAAAAGGAGTAACATTTCAGATGACAATAGTGTATAATAATAGTTTGTGGTGTGTTTATCTCTCTGAGTAACAATTTTAACATATGTCATTCCTGATCTCCAATGTCAGGCAATTGTGAAATGAGCAGCAGAAAAAAAAATTGTTTTATTTAGCAGAGTAAAGGTACAGTCATTTAATGAAAAACGCTTCCAATGGGAACCTCCTTTCTTTTTTTTATTTTTTTTTGTATTTTACTTTAAGTTCCAAGATACATGTGCAAAACAAAATAAAAGTTAAAAATTTGTTATTGTTGATAATAGTAGATGTGAAATTATTCACCCTCATTTATACAGGACTACAGGGGAAAGGGGATAATAAGATAAAGCGGGTGACAGCAGAAAGTCAGTCAGAACCAGGAAAGGTCAGGCAACCACGGGGATGGCACCAGACCACTCAGATTTATACTGTGGCAGTGACATGTCAGGGTAATAAAGTCAGTTGTCCAAACTTCTTGTTTGCTTTTCACTATTAAGCTAATTGAGAACACATTTTTGACTTCCATATTTGGTGGAGAATGCCAAGTAATAGTATGAACTTAGATTCTTGAGAAATAGGTACTTTCGGTAGTATTCTGTAATTAATCCTCAAGCTATTTTATGCTTAATTTGGTACCTCCTCTCAGGGGTCTTGAATGCTATATATTAAAATCAGGTGTTTTTAAAAATGCTTAAATGAATGCCCCATGCCAGAGTCTTCTTTAGTTGGTTTGAAGTGAAGCCCATGCATCATCATCAGGTTTTAAAAACAATTCGGGTGAGTCTGATGTAAAGTCAGGGGTGAGAAGCCCTCTATCTAGCCAATGTTTCTTAAAGTGCAGTCTAGATGGATCGCCTCCGCCAGAATCACATACAATCCATGTTCAAAATGTAGATGATTATATACTATTCAACACCTGCTGAGCCAGAATCCGTAAGCTCCCTCGTGGTTTTCAGAGAGTATCCTTGCTATCATGCCAGTATAATTCACCTTTCATTTGACAGGTTTCCAAGTTAAGATGGTACCCAACTGATATTTTGCAATAGCCATTTTCTGACTTATGTGATTTTTCTGCAGCACAATTACCACTTGGACGGGGAAATAAATAATATATATATGTATGTGCTGTTGGGGATATATACACATATGTATATATAATGTATGTATATAAGACTATGTATATACATAGTATATGGATATTTTATTATATATAGTTATACATAAATATATGTATACATGTTATACATGTATATGTAATGTAGACACTACTGGAGAGATATAAATACATACGTACACACACACACACACACACACACACACACACACAAGACACTGTCTATATCCTTTAATAGAAATATTCTTTGCTCTGGCTTGGAAGGCATTCTATTTCTTACCCTCATGTTCACGGACCAGAGGAGGATTATCTATGGCTGTATAAAGTATTATGGGAAAAGCTAAAATGAGTGGCTCCGCAAAGTCAAATTCTAATGTTTTCTGCCTAATCCTTAGAAACAGAAAAACCCAGAGACATTGAAAATATATTTTGAGTACTACTTACGAATCATGATTATATATATTTTATAGCCCTGTTGTTATTGAAAACTGTTCTTGAAATTCAGAGCCTGACAGTCTGTTGAATGCAGAAAACCTGTTAAAAAGCAATCTGAAATGCATTTCAGGTGAAATCACTTTTTACCAAAGTGCAGATCATTTCATTTATTCTAAAGGCATATAATTAGAAAGGAGAACAAATTGTTTTTATTTTTACAATATAGCACAAATATATGTTTTTATTCTAGCCTCAGCATGTGTATAGTCATGAAAAAGTCCATGTCAGAAGAGAATAATTTTTTTCCATTTGCATGGACCTCTATAATATATATACTCAAAATTTTAAAAATGTATTTTCAAGTGAAAAAAACAGATGGTATTATTTATTTTGGCCTTATCTGCATGTCAGAAAATTAAAACTTTTTAAATTGTGACACATTACACATTGCTGTACAAAATTTGATTATCAGAGGCAGAATTCATATTTTTTCTGCTTAAAATACAGAAGACAAATTTTCTCATTTAGGGAAATCAATTTTATTAGTGCTTGGTCAGAAAAGACTAAAAATTTCATGTTGAATACGTACTAATTCAATTTTTACTGAATAATTTTAAAGGCATACATTGAAAACATTTATCTGCTAAACTAACAAAAGGTTATTTATTTGGTCACTGCTTTATTAACACTTATTTACTGAAAGAACAGCTACTTTTTAATTCCTAAATCATAAAATGTTAGAAAGGAAAAGTGCTTTTATATGACATATTTTAAATAAGCCTGTTCACTTGGGGAATGGATTTAGGAAAGTAAACTTTATTACTGAATAAATTTAGGTCCACTCAAAATAGTTCATAATATTTTTAAAGATTATCTAATAAACTCAGTGGTGTCCAGAAAGCCAATTATGAAAGCTCAAAGATAGAATTTCTCTTATTGTTCAAGTAACTAGACAATGCATAATACAAGCCCTAATCTTTTTTAGTTTTTCAGCCCTAATCTGTTTTCGATATTATCAAAATGCAAAGGGATTAAAAGATAGCAATGAAAAATGAAAAATGAAAAATATCTTTATATGTGGCAATATATAGGTAGCATTCAAAAGGATAATGTGGAATTGCTGTTACACAATATTTTGAAAGGTAGAATACAACATTTGAGGAAAAATTCACTCAAAAATGTTTTGCATTTGAGATTTGCTAGTTAATAAACCTATTTTAAATGAAAATTAATAGCAAAAACTTAATAATGAATGTTCTCACTGAGTAGGTCATACGCTATGTAAAGGTGGGAACAAAATTGTTTACAAGAGCAAATGCAATACTGTGAACATAGTAGAGGTTAAAAGGGTAGCTACTAAATGATTAACTTAAAAAGTAAATGCACTGTACATTTGAGGCAGATGTTCTTAACTCCACTGTAATATTTTCTATAAAACGTTTCACTCTTTCCTTTACTTATATGACATAAGAAAAATGTGTGTGATGAGAAATAAGTTGACCTCTGCAGAGGCAAGTCAAAGCACTTATCTTAGACTGTATCTTCACACAGCAAACCCATTGAAAATGTTAAGTTTAAGTAAATTAAGCAATTGCAGTCCATGTATACTTCTAAGCAGAATGACAGAGATACTTCTCTGACCTCACTGCTAAGCAAAAGGAAAGTTCTGGCTAGACTAATATGTCTCCTCCACATGCAAAGACAGAAGTTTAACCTTAACTTTGTGGTCCACTCGTAAAACCTTTGCAATTTATTCTGTCTTTTCACTTATTTTTTTCATGTGTGTGTGTGTCTCGTTGGCCGAAATATCTGTTAATTACCTGTTATAACTTAAAACCCACTACACAACATGCTAATGTAAAATGTTTTCATGAAAACTTTTTATGGAACGTATAAAGCAACTTTGTTAAGAAATGAATGGTAAACCAGAATGCACAAATTAATACTTCTTTCGAAAGAGCCAGTGACAATGATAAAGTGTGCTAAGTACCTATTCAAATCTGCTATAGAGAATGGTCTGTACGGATAAACATTATGTTTTCATACATGCTGAGGGCAGATTAATGACTAGTTTGAGCTATATAAGGCTTCAGTTTGCAGAGTTTTGAATCCAAGTGAATACCACTAATTAATTATGTAAACTGATAACAACTCTGCCTCCATCTACTCTTTGGTGAATTAGAGCTAATGACATTTCACAGGGTTATTAATTGATGTGATACCAATAGACATATATTAGAAGACACCTATAAAGTGCCTAGCATTTAGTAGGCATTCAAATTTTTGTAGCTTCCCTTTATCTTAACTCACTTAACATTAATACAGCACAAACATTTAATTCAAAACAAAAGAATCAGTCATTTTGTTTTCTTTTTCTTAGTACATTAATAAATGAACTAGGAATGTACAAAAGATAAACATCTTCAAAATACTATCCCTAAAGTACGAAGTATTTGAAATAAAGGCCATTAAAGTGGTATGTTTTCAAAATCTGGGGTAAAATCATCTACTAGTGGGGCCAGTGGTGAAAAACCTATTTAAAAAACAAAATGCATGCAATGGCATATATGTCATATAGTTAACATTAGAACATATATTTTTAACAACTGCTTTTATTAAATATTTAAGACAGTTTAAAAACTTTCCTTACCTAAACTTTAAAATAAAATTTCACAAAATAAAAATAAAACTACTGAAGTACATTTTTGTTAGACTTTTCCTGAATCTATATCACATTAAATAAAATACTTAATATTTTAAAAAACTTCATCATTAGTTCAAAGCAATTGAACAAAAGGTTGTTCTTATATAATTAAAATTTGGGATTCTAGAATAATTTACAAGAACATTTTTTCATAAGTTCACATATACTAATTTCAACAAATAAATTATGCTTAGGACAAGTATTATTTAATCTGCTTTAAAGAATATATAATTAACTTAAAATTAACACATTGTGAGATACCGATAGTATGCTGAAACCATTTTAGAAAACTTGAACTACTTTTTCGTAAGTAGATTAAAGTATTCCTGCAACTTACTAATACTACTAAATTGTTTAAACAGCTTTTCTTAAGGATAAATTCCATCCCAATTTATATTCCAATTATTAGAGTTTAAACTCTATTATTTTATTATAATTTCAAAATGTAACATATTTCTGTAAAACACAAGTAAGCACTAGGAAATCAAACAATAAAAATTATACTAGGTATCATAAATGTTTTGAGAACTAGTGTACAAAAATAGTTGTATAATATTATGTATACCTAAAAATGATTGACTTCCCGTCTGTAGCAAGGAATTATTTTTCCTGTTGCCCTCATTCCCTTGGTTCATTATTTCTTTTTCTTTTTCATTTATTGTAATATGAGTTCATTCCTTCAGGCCATATTCATCTCTGTATTCCTTTCCCTCACTAAGTGCCTTGTGAAATAAAAGATGCTCAATAAATATTTCTTTAAGTATAGTTATATATTGTATCTATACAATATATATTCTTATGTATTGTCAAATGATAATTCAGCTATGATCTCTGATAATGAAAAATTATCTCTGATAATTATCTCTGATAATGAAAAAATCAGGTGTAAGAAATCTTAATTATTTTTCATTATATGTGCTTTTACTATTTCTTTATTAGGTGTACATGGTTACTTCATGAGAGTACCCAGGCGAATAAGCAAGCTATTTTAGGTTCTCCAACTTCTTAGAAAAGAATTCCTTAAAATTCTAATTGCCAGTAGATTTTAATTAAATATATTATTGTAAACTTCCTTAGGGATTCCTTTACTGCATCTAATCCAGTAGTACTAAAATTGCATTGTTTTTCACAACTTAATCTGCATAGATTTATAGACATTTTACTGAATATTATTTTTACTGATTGAGATGCACACAATTTATCTGCATTCTGACCATCTGTTACTATAGACAGAATTTGTCAGATAAATTTGTGTTGAAAATTAAGCAAATTATCAGTACTTTAAGGTTATGTTTAAACAATGTTCAATAAAAGATACAGACAGGAAATATAATTAATAAACTAAATGAATTAAATTATTTGTCCCAATATTTGATTATTTATACTGACCAAATTAAATCATAACATTTCATCCAGTTGTTTAACATCCTGCAAATTAGAAATGCAAAAGTTAACAAACAATGGAATTATTGCAAATATATTTAACTGTGTATTTTGATGCTGGTCTAGTATTTGGAAAATCTCCAATTAATGCAATCGATAGAGATATTTTCAACATATATTTATATTTTAGTTGGGGAATGATGTTGTGATAGACTTAGGTTGTTATATTGGTTCCCAAAATAACAACAAACATTGTGATTTTATTTTATTTTTTTAGAGACAGGATCTCACTCTGTCACCCAGGCTGGAGTACAGTGATCATAGCTCACTAGAGCACTGAACTTTTGGACTTAAATAATTCTCCCACCTCAGCCTCCCCAGTAGCTGGGACAACAGGTGCACACCACCATGCCTGGCTAGTTTTCATTTTTATTTTTATAGAAATGGGGCCTCAATATGTTTCCCAGACTGGTCTCAAACCCCTGGGCTCAAGTGATCCTCCCACCCTCAGCCTCCCAAAGTGCTGGGATTACAGGCATGAGCCACTGTGCCCAGCCCTATTTTGTAGTTTTAAATAGCTCATGTTGCTACCTGAGCCCCAGTTTTCTCATCAGAATATTAGGGCTCACAACATTTATTATGTTTTTGTGATGAGTCAAATAAAACAAAATGTGTAACAGTTCTTTGAGAAAGCAATGCATTTTATCAATACATGGCATAACCTTAATAATAGCCTCACAAGATATTATACTTATAATATTTGTAAATAATACTATCACAAAAATCTTAGTCCTATGATATAATTGTCCTGGAGATAATATAAAATAATGCAAGTTTATGACCCAACTAAAATACATGTTATTGAAACTCAAGAATAGACCTAGTATTGTAGATGTTAGTCTTAGAGGTTGAGATTGTGTATTTTAGAAACTTCAAAGATTATAGAAAAATTTTAAGAAAAAATGTGTAAAAATGGGGAAATCTTTTTATTTACGAGTTACCTGGAAATGTTTAATACTCAATGTGATAAATAATGTTGTCCTTTCTAATTGAAACTACTTTTTTGTACACATATTGGCACAGCAAATTGCTATGGCTGGAGGTTGGACACTTTCAACAGTTAGTTATTTCATGCATACATATAATTTGTAAAGCCGACAAAAAAGAAAAGATAAAAACTCTAAGTAGAAAATAGAATTTTATAACTACGTTTTACAGATTATTCCAAGAGATATCATTGGTTATTTTATTCTTTTGAAAATATTACTTATTTAAACAACTAAAAAAACCGGTAAAGCCTGATATAATTTCAACATTAGAAAGAATAAATTATTGAAAAATATGTAGAACAAAAACACCATCTTAATGCCATTGGTACCACTATACTGTTGAGCAAGTATTATATGAGGTATTGAACATTGCACATAATTATACACTTAGGATTTGAGATTGTAGATAAACCAGTTGTTCAAGGCCACTAAAATACTGAAAAAGGATTATGATTATTAACAGTGAGGAGGAAAATACAACTATAAAAGCCCTTCAAACTCAAATCTGGAAATGGTAATTTTACTCAAAAATATACCACAACTACTAAGAGATTTTAGTAATTCATGACACAAAACAAGACATCCACCTCTAATTTTTTTCTTATCTATTACATGAATTCAGTGGTGATAGACCACATATTTGGGACCTCCATCGCAGTGTGATATTTAGTATTGTTATATTTTAGAAGTTACTCATTTAATTAAGGATTTTATAAACGTGATATGTGGTAACTGGATTTTATCATTTCTGATAAATGGAAAAAGTTTAGATTTTATACTAAAAGTATTATCATGCCTATTCACATCATGTAAAATATTTAAAATTCATGTATTTTAATTGAATGAAGTGCTGAAAAATTTAGGTATGACTAATAGGTATTACTTGCTTATATGATAAAATTCAGTTTTAGGTGGTACTTTATTCTATAGATTCGGAAATAGCTCCTCTTTTCTACTAATTTAAAATAATTCTATGGCTCTGGTTCTTAAAATGTCTAATTATTTTCACTATTCAGTGCGTACTGTTAGAATATATTTCTTTCAATGATTTGTAAGATTTGGTGGAGTGAAAAACCTCAGGAAAATAAGACGTGATTTACAAACATTTGGCTATGTAGAGTAGTTGCATTGGTATTTTATACTGGTAAACTTAAAATATGCTAATTTTGAAGCATCTAAGCAACGTTTGGAGAGCTGGCCTACTGGGTGAGAATACCATTTAAAAACATTTGTGTTACACAACACACAGCCATGAAAATGGCTATTCAAAATTCCCAGGTAGAACACAGTTGTCAGTGCCAAAAGAAAAGCTTTGTACATTAACACAAGAAAAGGAACTTTTCATCTTAAGGGATGGCACAACTGGCACAAAAGGTCATTAAATGCTAATAGACCCACTTGAGGTATGCTCGCTTAATGGAGGATTAGAGCAAAACAGACTTAAAAGACCAACATGCAGAGAATTTTTTTAACTCTCTGGACTACTCAGCATAAGGTAGGAAAACAAACAAGATGGAAAATAAACTCTTTTTCAGCACTAATAATTATAAGTTTGCATAATTGTTTCATGCAAAAGGAACTTTGACAGAAAACGATGGCAAAATCTATAGGCAAGACTGACACAGGAGAACTGGAATAGTAGTTTATACAAAAATTTTGTTTGTATTCATCTTCATGTAGCAGAATAGACCACTGTTCAAGAAGTAGATGAAAAATTCATAACAGTTGAGAAATTTAGTTAGGACATAGAAAGAATAATGTTGAGATAAATTCCTTGAAGCCTTTTGCAACTGTCCTTAAGTTTATAAAAAGAGATAAATTTTCTTTGATCTGAAGACATTCTTTGTACATGTGCAGTGTACAACATACTATATACATATGGGGCTTCCCTATGTACATATACATATGCATACACTATCTATATGCCTTTTAAAATGTATACACAGCTTTAACTCAAAGAAAATGAGTTAGCAACACAGTAATCATTGCCAGACAATCCAAGTGCTGAAATAAGTGATGTTCATCATGTCAAGGGCTATTTTACCTCTCACATTGCCCAAAATTGAGAATATCATTTCTGTTTTTAGTTTTTCTTTCATTGCAATACTGATTGTCATATATAATCTTTGTGCTTTTGCATAATGCCCATCCTAGGTGTAACACATATTCACACACAACACTGGACGTTTGAAATAAGCATGCTGGAACACAGGCAGGACAATATATCCATGCACAGATATTCTGAATATGTTTTTCCAAATTGACTGTAACATCAACATGCATCACTATCATATTTGGTCCTGTACAGCAAGGAATGTACAGCTGAAGCAATCATGGCTAGTTTCACTTGCAAGAGTTTCTTTAGAGAGGAACACCCAGTAGAGAAACAGAACAGAATGAATGAAACAAATAAAAAATATCCCCCAAAACCAAAAAATAAAAACTAAAAAAAAAATTCCTCCCACACGTTAACACTGAAAATCTGGCCATTTTCTAGGTAGTACATTTTCCTCATTCCACAAAAAGCGTGTCTTCTCATAAACTTCTGAGTTGAATTGTTTGTTTATAAGATACATATATTAGTGTCTTAGAGCTTTTCCTAACCATTGGAAAAGCTCGTCTTGGTAAAGCATTTTCCAGCGCACATTGGCTTCGACAGTTTCCACAGCTCGTGAGAAAGAAGCAGCAGCTACCCCATCATAGTTTTTCATGAAGTTCTTGAGCTGGAAAGAGAAATTTTTAAATGGTAAATCTGCCTGTCTTAAAAAGAACTCATGTCCAACAAACATGAACAAGAATCTATTTGAAACATTAAAAAACAATATATTTGAAACAAAATGCCATGACCACTATAGAAGATATATTTAGTACTGTGGAGTGAGCTTGGCAACTGAATGAAATATGACAGATTATGTCAATTAGTTGTGATGTAATTGATTTTGGAACAGAAAAAAAACAGTGGACATTACAACTTAAATAGCTCCAAATTCAGCTTCATGTTTCATGATTAGATATTAAAACAGACATTTAATTGATCATTTCAAAATCAGTTGATGGGATTGTGGCAAGGACTAGTTCTAACTTCAATGTGTATACAATGCACCAAGTAGCCTTAAACACTGAATATAAGGATTAAAGTTCACATTTTGTCTGCAGAGAGAAAATTATTTTTCATCTTCTCCAAATGAGTGGTATTGGGCTTGACATTATCTTTGATGTCATTGAATAACCAAAGTATTGTCTAGTGGAAAAAAAGTAATGGTGCTATAAAAATTGTATGATTAATGACATGGCAATCACCTGCGTAACTAGATTTTGAAAGAATAAAGGAGGGATATGGTCTTATTTAGCTGGAGAATCTGAGCATTTAAGTTATAATTCTTAAATGTTTTGCCATATTTTTTGACATAAAATTTTATTTGGAGAGTTCACATACTCTGGAAATACTCCAAGATTTTACTTCAAGATTAAATACCAGAAGTTTTTCCTTTCTGTTTGATATATCTTAAGAAGCTGGCAATGAACTAACAATTGTGATGCTAATAGACAAATGTGAAAAATCAACTTGCAACACAGAATCATTATGTGGTGTAATTAGTGTGGGGTGTAATTCATCATATGGTGGGCACCACATGGAAGATATGCCAGGAGGGAAATGCAGTGTATCAAGATTGGCTCAGGGGCAGGCAGAAATGGTAGTCAAGGATGGAGTTAAAATGCGGTTATAACTTTCTGAATTGATTTAGAAATTAGTTCATGGATAGCTTAGTTTATTTATAAGTGTTACTTTGATTACATGATACTGATGGGTTTTCTCAGAGTTTTTACTCTGCTTTCCTACAAAGCCCTTTGCCCAGCAGCATTAGCAATGGATAACTGTATCTCAGAGGTACATCCTTTAGAAGATTTCTAAATCACTGTGCTTTCATAACAAACATGTAAAATAGCCAATGTATAACAAAGACTTATGGGTGTTGTCCTTAAAACTGATATGGCATTTGACCAAATTACATATATTAAGAAAAAAGGAAGAAGCAAAGGGATTGGAGTTAATAAATATTAATGTTGCAGACATTGTGCCATGGGGATAGAAATATATATACACACATATATAAAGGGGGAGTCTAATGGAAGTACTTGAATCATAATTTTAAACTTTATCTGATTAACACAAGAATACATTTGTACTTATATATTTATGTTCAGACTCATCCAGTCTATATCCTTAAGGCAAAAAGTAATACATTTTGATCTATGTTTTGAATTTTGTTTTAATTTATTATAAAAATATGATATTATAATGGCATTATTTACATGTTATAGGTCAATCGGAAAAAAATTACATATGCTCCTTTTAAAGTATATTCTGAATTATTACTTTTTTTCCTAGGCAGTCACTGAATACACCAGAGAGTCATAAATGACCCTTTAGCAACTTTAACTCTGTGGAGCATGCTCTTGGCTTCCTTATGAGATGGTAAGCCAGCCTAAACACATAAAGTAAAACTCTTAAGTCCTCCTCAAAGGCAAACTATGGGTTTGAATATGAACGTTTATTGACAGAGAGATAGTAGGTTGGATTATCCTGCAAAAGAACTCTCAACAGAAAATGTGAACTGGTGGGTCTCTAGAGATTCACTTCTTAAATCATGATTTAAGTGCAGTAAATACTCCCCTTGTGGGCTCAGAGAGTCTGAGGTGCCTCATATGTATCTTAAGAGGAACTTACTCATCAGAACACATCTGGCCTACTTTCTACAGTTGCCATTAATTGATCTTATGCCCCATAATTCTCCATAGCTCTGATATCCAACATGTGGTTGGAATTGCCTCTGACTGGCCCTAGCGCATGCTCACAGTGCCTTACAAACCCCTGCCTCACCTTAGAGGGCTTGGGGTAAAAGAAAGGCAGTTAGCATTCTAGTTTGCTTATTTCTTCCACTCTTTGGTAGGATTTATGCTGCCATTTGTGGGCGAAGAACTACCCGGGTGCCGAGGCAAGAGACTGAAGGCACAAACTGTAGCAGTGTAATAAAGAAAATAGTTAGAATAAAGAATAGTTATAATACAAATTAGATACAGAGATGATCATGGACAATTATCAATCATTAGTATAAACATTATTAATCATTAGCTTTTAATATTACTCTTTGTTGCATTACTAACATAAACTAGGAATAACCGGCGAGTATAGGGTCAGGTGCTGAAGGGACATTGTGAGAAGTGACCTAGAAGGCAAGAGGTGAGCCCTCTGTCATGCCCGCATAAGGGCCGTTTGAGGGCTCCTTGGTCAAGCGGTAATGCCAGTGCCAGGGAAGGCACCCGTTCCTTATCAGACTGCAAAAGGGAGTCTCCTTTCCTTGGAGGAGTCAGGGAACACTCTGCTCCACCAGCTTCTTGTGGGAGGCTGGATATTATCCAGGCCTACCCACAGACATCCAGAGGCCTAAACCCCTCCCTGTGGTGCTGTGCTTCAATGCTCATGTTCCTTGTCCACTTTCACGTTCCTCCCGTACTTCTGGTTCCTCTTTGAAGTTCGTAGTAGATAGCAGTAGAAGAAATAGTGAAAGTCTTGAAGTCTTTGATCTTTCTTATAAGTGCGTAGAAGAAAACGCTGACATATGCTGCCTTCCCTCTCTGCTTTGGCTACCTAAAAGGGAAGGGCCCCCTGTCCCATGATCATGTGACTTGCTTGACCTTATCAATCACTTGGATGACTTATCCTCCTTACCCTGCCCCCTTGTCTTGTATACAATAAACATCAGCACGCCCAGCCATTTGGGGCCACCACCGGTCTCCTCATCTTGGTGGTAGTGGTCCCCGGGGCCCAGCTGTTTTCTCTTTATCTCTTTGTCTTGTGTCTTTATTTCTTACAATCTCTTGTCTCCGCAAGCGGGGAGAATACCTGCTAAGTCCTGTAGGGCTGGACCCTACACCATTAGTTTTTGTTTTTGTTTTAAATTGTGTTTTCTAACTATACCATGATATGATTTTATTTTAAAATGTTGCAACTTTAGGCACTTTTATAAAATAACATTTAATAAAATGGCAATGTTGTTTGTGCTCCCTATCTTCTTAGCATAAAACTTTGAAGCATGTTTGTTAATTTTTCTATTAAAAAGATTTCAGCATTAAAATTTCCTCTTATTTCAGGGTATCCTAGATATCAACATCATAAGATAAATTATTTTTAGAGTAGATTGTAAAACATAATATACTCTTAATAACTATGTAAATGAATAGAATTAACTATTGCCCTATTACAAAGTTTATATCTTCAATATTAAAACTGTAAATGTAATGCCTTTGATGCATAGGATCTATGTTCCTCCACAACAGTGAGGTATGTTAGGTTTAAAAAGCAGAAAAATGGGCATGTGAAAGGACTGGTTAATAGTCATTAATGTGGAAAAATGGCAAGGGCCTCTGAGGTTCAAGAAGATCATCTCCATTAGTTTAAAATTAAATAAATAACAGATTGCCTTATGAAGAAATATTGTTCAAATTGCTAGAGCCATGCAATTAAAATTAAAAGGAAACTCCAGTTTCAGGTACTAGAATACTGTTTTTGGGAGAAAACCATGGAACAATGTAAGCGTCTTTACTGAATCCACCTAAAGCTGATGAGGATCATTAAAATCTGGAATGAGTTTTCAGAATTCATAAAGATGCTGATTCCCTTTTGATCTATAAACCCTTGGAAATAAGAATATGTCATATCCAAAGGGAGCCCATTGGGCTTTCTGCTTATGAGGCTTATGGGTTATGGTAGAATGCAAGTGAATTCTCCTCAGACTTTTCTATTTAAGAAAGGGTGGTTATCACCATAAAAACCAAAACCCCCACCCCATCTGACAATAATGTTCCTCAATCTTAGAGATGATGTAAGTATTCAAAAGCCTCAGGCAGCATCTGTTAAACTGCTAAGCCAGAGTAAATAACTCCAGAGTGAAGAGATTCATTCCTCATGCCACTTAGAGACTGCACTGTGATGTTAGCTGCTTTGTAGATAATGAAATAAAAGCCATAATTTAGTTTCAATTTTGAAATTATACCCTTCATTATAGGAGCACTTTGAAACATCTAAAATGGCAATTAAATAAAGTGTAAAAATTTAATAAATCAGTGAAATATGTAAGACAAAACAGTCAGTATGTGATAAAATCAATTAAATGTCTAAAATATTTTCTTTTCATAGCCTGGGTAATACCAAGTCCAGGAAAATATGAAAGGCAAACGGAGTTAGAGGAAAGCAAGAAGAAGAAAAATTAAAGAAGGGATAAGAGAGAGGTAGGGAGGAGAGGAGATAAAAGAGAAGGAGAGAAGCACAGAGAACGAAGGAAGCAAACAGGAGAGAAGAGAAGAGGGAGAGATTTTGCTCTGTGCTCACTTCAATGGCTGCACAGGTTGTGACTAAATGAGTCTTTAATTCCCAGATTATTGAATGTGAAATCATGAAATTAAAAGTACTTCATTTAAATACAGAGAAAATTGGAAGCAATCATTAATTTACTTGTTCTTTCTTTCTGTTTTTTATGGATATGAAAACAGTCCTTTCCATTTAGCTTCCTTTATTTAAAAAATAGTAAAATATGTTCTGGGGCTTTCAAATTTAATCCTTCAGGGTTGGGAACACACATAGCAGGGATAAAGACTGAATTTCAAATCATTACAATCAGAGACTTAGCTTAGCTTAGCTCATGGTGTGAAAGAAACCAAGTTAGTGCACACGGGATAATCATAGGAAACTGGACAATATTAGAAGATATTAAGGATGGTGCCAGGGTTGATGCTTCTAGGGAATGGTGCTCAGTGTGGTTAGCTGTGGGGCACAGCATTAGGCATTCTGTCAGTGAAAACTGAGAAAACCATCATTCTCAATGTCAAATATCAGCTATATTTTACAATGGAGAACAGGAGCACAAGAAAAGGCCATCAATGTTTGAAGTGCGATCCATTGTAATCAATTAAAAGAGTCTATATTTTGCTTATTTTTCCTTCATCCTTAACCCTCTCCCCATTTCTCATCTCTCTATATTAGTGAGGTGACTTAATGGCAAAACAAACAAACAAAACTAGCTGGCTTAAATTTCCAGAGTAATAAACCAGAAACAACATAGTAAGGAAATGTTAGATACTCCATAACCTGGACACCAGTCCTTAAAAATCAAGTTTATTTTCACTAATAAAATTCACTTGTGATTGTACCAAGCAGTTTTAAAGCAATTTATTAATCTCAATATGTATTACCAGATATGCTCCTTTCTACGCTTAAGAATTTGTTTCATTTAAGAGGCTACATAGCACAAAGCAATATTATTATGTACAGTATGTCCGTTGTCTGTTTAAGGCTGACCACAAAGCAGTGAGACACATGGTCTATATCTCAACACCAACCTTTGTCCATTATACAAATACTGAGTCACTGACAGGATGGTTTTGTTATTTAGTGAATCCTACAGTGGGTTAATAGAATCATTTGAGGAATAGCTGATTGGATCAATGATCTCTGAAGTGGATTGTGGGTCTCCAGGTTTGAAAATTACTACATTCAAACATTCCTTGCAGGCCTTCAATGTTTGACATGTAAAAATACTCTTTGCAAATTATGAATTGAGTAGTCTTTAACGTGTGTGTGTGTGTGTGGTGTGCGTGTGTAAGTAAAAGGAATGGATGTGAATCTGTTGGAAAGAAATGACTGAAGTAAATGCATAATTTCAAATGTTTATAAAAGAAAATAATTAGACTTCATCTTAAAATATTTACCTCTTTGAGTTCACCTTCAGTATTAAGAAATTCTGTGACACCACTGATGAGTTTGGAATTCATAAACAATGCTTCTCCATACCTCAAAAGAAAAAAAGAGTCTTAATGTCAATGCAGGTCATAATTTTAAAAAATATTACTATAAAGATTTTTTAGAGTTTTCTCAAGGGTTCGATTTGCTCAGTGTTGTCAGAGACTGCCAGATCTCTGAGCACTCAAGCCCATTTCTCTAGGGAGTCAGGGAGGGACAAAGAGTTATGGCTTTGGGATATCATCAGGTCCCACCTAATATGGTTCACAGTGTTTCAGAGAAGTCTGAGTTGTAGCAAATTTTTTAAAGGGGCCCTCTAAAACTGGATTTAGGGATTAACAGTATATTTCCAAGCCAAGGCCTGAGAACAAAATATTTTAAAACTTTCAATTACAAAGCAACCTAGCTTACTGGAAGGGAAAATGATTCCATAAAAGGCAAGAGGAGCTGCAGGATCAACCTGGGCACTGTCAGATCCTTTGATATGATTAGTCATAATTGACACTGGCATTTTCATATTATTTTATTCTTAGAAATTGAGGCAAAATGCATTCTCAAAAATGCATTTTCTTATTTCATTCTTAGAAACTGATGCAAAATACATTCTCAAAAATGCATTTTTATATTTCATTCTTAGAAACCGAGGCAAAATGCATTCTCAAAAATGTTCTCCAAAATATTAGCTTTTTTCATGTGTACATTAAAGTAAAACATCTACTTGTTCATTTGGATTGCCTAATCCTTGTACTACAGACACAATTACTTGACTTTTGACCCAAGACAAGGAACAACTTGTGTCAGTGAGTTGAAAAGAATACTCATTTTACTGATTTGTCCCTTCTATGCTAAGGATACCTATCACAGATTATCATACTTTTAGAACTAAGGTGAGTACAATAAAAATAAGACTCTGGGTTTTTAAAGACAAGGATCTACACACTGTTATAATAGGTTTTCCAGTGCTTCCCTAACTTGTAGGCTCTTAAGCATCTAATTTAAGATTTAATTTAGCTTCTGTAGAACTTAGTTTTCTCATCTATAAAATGAGAAGGTTGAACTAAATGACCACTGAGATTTGTTGTAATTCTGACATTGAACTATTCCACAGAAAAAAAGCTAGCTAAGTAAAAGCAAACAAATAGGCATTCAATAATAATGTAAGTGATCATTTTCAATCAGTATGTGGGTACAAAATTGTCCAATTATGCAGGCAAATAACAATTTTTTTCTAAAGAAGTGTTAGTTGTTTTTACTTATATTGTCCTGTGAAGATATAATAAGAAAATAATAAGGTACAGTCTGTTCCTTGAAGGTATTATACTATCCACTTGAAGAGCTAGACATGTAATCAGATAATTTCCACGTATTGTGGCTAAATGTGGTGATAAAATTATACACAGTGCTCAGAGAGGATTTCTTTATCTGTAGGGTCTTGGGAATGGCTTCTGAGAGAAAATGGCATCTAGATTGACCATGGAGTAGTTCTGAGCAACAGGAAAGAAAGTAATTTTAGGCAGAAGATGAACATAAACAAAGAAAAAGAGACGTGAAAAGACATGGTTTGTGCAGACAACTACAAGCAGTTTGATATTAACAGTGCATACAGGCCAAGGCGGTGGCTCACGCCTGTGATCCCAGCACTTTTGGGAAGCTAAGGCAGGTGGATTGCTTGAGCTCAGGAGTTCAAGACCAGCCTGGTCAACATGGGGAAAACTTCTCTCTACAAAAAATAGAAAAATTAGCCGGGTGTGGTGGTGTATGTCTGTAGTCCCAGCTACTCAGGAGACTGAAGTGGAAGGATCACCTGAACTCAGGAGGTCAAGGCTGCAAAGAGCTGTGATTGTGCCACTGCGCTCCAGCCTGGGTGACAGAGTGAGACCTTGTCTCAAAAAACAAACAACAACAACAACAACAAAAATTAGTCCATACACTGATACATTGTGAGCCTGAAGATTGAAGAACAAGACGCTGACAAAATATGCAGAGGACATATTAAGGGGCTTAAATTATAAATCTCACATAGAAAGTTTTATAGCAGGGAAATATCACATTTGCTTTTCTGAAAGGTTCTTGGGATGAAGGGAAGAGGCTAAAGTGTGTTTATATAATTATAGAGGCAGTGAGACAGAAGGCTATTATTGTAAGAGTACTGGGAAGAGATGAGAACCTGCACTGGGGAAGTGGTCACAAAAAAAGAGAGGAATAATTCAACAAACTTTAGAAAATGTTAAATTGATATAACCTAGAGTCTAATTGTTATATATGGCAAGAGAAAAGGGGACGCCTATGTAGACTTCCAGATGTTGGGCTTGAGCAATTGGTGGATGGCTACAAGATTTACTGAGAAAAGGAGGATAAAAGAAAAATCACCCATTTAGCTTTGCAGGCACACTCATAAAGGAAACCTCTATGGCCAATTATCCATCACAGGGAGAAAGGCAGGGAAAATGTCTGAATTAGAGATACAGATTTGGGAGTAATTGAAACCATGAGAGTAGAAGGCATCTAAAATTAGGAAGAACTTGCAGAGTGGGAAGAAGAGTGCCTTCAACAGAGCTCCGTGAATGCCAGCATTCAAAAAATCGACAGAGGAGCAGGAGCCAGTGAAGATTATGCTCCTATTTGTCAGTGTAAACACCATCGTATTTTTAGATAGGATGGAGATCATGGATTCAGTGAGACAAAATAAGCATATCAGGAACCAAACATTTTTTGGTAGGCAATAAACTATATATGCCTATAATTGCATTGCCCTGAACGCTGATTTACAAAACCACTCCCTAAAGAAACTGTGTATTGGTAGATGTTTGATATTCTTTTAAGTTAAATGTTTGTATACATTAATTTTACCTTAAGTGTCTATTCACTCTATTATATGCACAAAAGCAAAGCAAGCTTTAATCGTCCAACTATTATAAGATCTGAGCTGAAAATATTAAAAAAGTCAATGTGTCTTATAGAAATATCAGTGTTTTCTGACAATGAAATACCTATGGATAGAGTGTTTTAATATGACACAGCCATTCTAATTGAACTGATTATACCAGGGCAACTGATGAAGGTATGCTTAAAAATAATAAAGTTTATACACTAGCTTTTCAGAGACAGAACAGTAAGTCTGCTTACTGTCTGGGAACATTTAAGTTAAAGAAAAACAAGCAGCATTTACATGCTTTATAATAAATTGAATTTTAATAGGCCATAGAGATTATCAGAGTAATAAATTAGTGTGTATTATAATATATTTAAATGCATAATGAAATATCTTATAAAATTGAGGCTAAAGAATTCTCACCATGAAACAAGATGTCCTGGGAGTAAATTTTACTGCAACTGGAATTATACAATGATTCAAATGATTAATATTCCTTCTCTATATCATGGTTTTATTCAGGTATTTTAAGATATTTATATTTAAAGAAAATTTAAAACAATTATACGGAAGTAATTAACGTTTTATTTTTATAATACCACTGTATTTATAAATCATTTCTATAACATATTCAAGATACAGGGGTTTTATGATACAGTGTCTTCAACTTTGGACAGTCTGATAGATTTTCCAGGAAAGTTGCTCAGCTAAGCCTTTTATACTCCAAATGTTTGCACATATAATTAATTAAGTTTATCAATTTTAATAAATGAATTATAGAATTTTAAAAATAATTTGGAGTTCCACGGGAGTGGCAACATTTATCTTGGTTGAATATTTTAATATCTAAACCTATTGCATGGATCTTAGCTTTAACACAAAACTTGGGCCTTTATTCCTCCTATGTCGGCTTTAATTTACTCATTCAAGTAAGAATTCTAATTTCTACCTGGTATTTAATATCTTCCATTTATCCCTGAAAAACTTCCAGGCAAGGTCTCGACCATGTGGATTTCGAGCTACATGGATTATGACATCAATTGCATCTTGATCCAGCACCACCTCAGAATTCAGTGACAGATTTAGAAGCCTTCAAAGATAGAATTTTGTAAAAATTTTTAGTCCAATAACTTAAACATTTTTATAATCTTACTAAAATTATAGGACCTAGTTTGTCATATTCTTCAAAAGAATAGTCTAGTGCAATCTTTAATAATGCAAACTTATAAATAGAACACATTTCTGTTTATAAAAGAGGATCAAACTCATAGTATTTTAATTAAAAACATTAAATTCTAAAAAAATCTTGTGAAAGGATATATCACAATTCTGGTTTGATGATTCAAATTCTCCTTTTAAATTCTTTATATTAAACACTTTTATAATAAAATATCTTCTTAAACATATATAAATTATATAAAATAAATACTCATAAAAAGATATAACCTCTGAAATCAAGTAGCTTTAGTCATTAACATGGCAGTTTTCCTCATGTTTAGGAAGATATATTTTAAAATAACTAGCATATATTCAAGTAAATAAAAGCAACTTCAGAGCAATTTGATTAACAGAATACTTTCATTAGAGAAACACATTTAGAAAATCAGTCGGCCTACCTGTTTAATAAATTCCTGTCATCACTGCAAGTTAAGGCTTCCAATAATATTTTCTTCTCAGAAACTGCTGTGGTGGAATGGAATTTCATCCATATGAATTCCCAGACATCCTCATCCAGTAGTGACACTCCTGTACAGTATACGATGTCTCTAACATTTAGTGGTATTCTAAAGAAGCAACCCATGGTGGTTTTCTGTTAATTAAAAGCTTAACAGTATTGAAAATAAAGACAGGTTTTGCTTTATTTACTACAGTCAGTTTTTTAAAAGATTATTTTGCTAATTAGATTTTACCTGAAACAGAATACTACACAGTAATAATATTTTAAAAATATTTCTCACTGGATGAATAAAATAATGTCTTTTATTCAAAGGTAGTTTTGAACATAATTATTATTTCCACTCTTGACTATACTTAAACAAAAATAGTAACATAAAGGCTTCACAAACCCATGAAAATAAGGCACTTTATCTTTTCACCAACTTTAATATGGCTATTACACAAAGATTTTGCTCTCATAATTGGTAGACCCAAGAATGTCAAGAAAGTACCAGTTGAGGACACTAATTAATTTGGATAGAACGGAAACATTTTCTCTTAAATTCTTAGATAACTTTCTCTATCAGTAATTTTCTCAAGCAACTCTCCAAATTTTGGAGACCTAGAAGATTATAAATATAGGTAATAAACAGATACCAAAATATAAGTAGAAAGTTATTTTTTCCTATGTTTATAAAATAAAATATACTAAAATTTGACTTTGATCCAAAATGCAATATTATAGTGGGAAAGAGTAAATTTAATTAGACTTGGCTATTCATAAGTTGAAAATTTTCATCCCTACTTTGCCTTAGTGATTTTTCTTACTAAATATTATTTCTTTAAGTTTTGGTATGTACCCTACATTTACTGACTTTTTAATATGCTTCTCTGAAAAATGCTCCAATACTTTTTTTTAAAGTTTCAAAATTTAATTTTGCTTTTTTTCAACATTCACTAATCTATTATCAAATTTCTCATTAATAATTTGAATGTGGCAGTAATATACTGCTTTCTCTGGATAGCAAAAGCAAACAATGCCTTCTAAAGATTTAGGACCATGATGATTAAAATACTGCTATGATTAAAGGAGTATTTGGAAAACAGGAAGAATTGTGTGAATAACTACCAGTAAGATGATCTGAATCTCATTTTGTTAAGCAGCTAAGAAGGGCTACAATCAGAATATGTGGCACTATACCAAGTGTGTAGAATTCTAAGAAAGTATCATACAAAATTAATGTTCCCAGAAAAGGCTAAACTTATTCTTTTTCAGCAAATAAAGTATTTGGAGAAACGTTACTTTAATTTTGTTAACTGAAGCCCTTTTTCCTTGTGGCATTAGAAAACATTTTGTTTGATTTGTTTTTAATGAAACAAAGGAAACACAGACATAGAATAAACCATTAAAGAGCTTCACATCTTTCTCTTGTTTTCCATCTCAGCACTGGAAGCCCTGTGGAAAGTACCAACAAAAGCCTTCTCAATTATTGGTGACATGTTCTCTCTGCTGTGTTTATGACCAGCTTGACACAGGGCATCCCTGAAATCACTAAAGGCATTGCCACCACATTTTGAAGGATGTGCTCAGTTCTGGTTAAGATTACGGAGATGCCTCCATCTTTAATAACTTAAATCAACAGCTATAAAACAGAGTGGGTCTTTTCCTCTGTATATTTATAGGCTACAGAGCACAACAGTGCATTATTGCCCTACTTTTGCCAAAAGAGTGAATAAAAACTTGCAAGAAAAAAAAACAACAAAATATCTACTGAAATCACTAACCCATCAATCAATGTACATTTCCTTAATATTAAGCATGATACTATAGTAAGTTTACTTTCTAAGATGTATTTATTAAGCAATTAATACACTAGAGAGAATATAGGGATAGAGCCCCTTAAGTCAGGTTTTTTGTATCACCTATAGAACCAATCTCCAATATCAATGTTCAAGAAGAAAAGGCATGTAGAAATATAGAAAAAAAAGTAACAGAATATACTAAACTATGTTGCCTGGAAGGCACTTGAGTGCCACATACTATACTGGTGCCATATATGACAGTTACCAGTAAAAAGTACCCAGCCCCTGGCAACCATCATTCCACTCTTTAATTTCATAAGCTTCACTTTTTAAAATATCTCATATAAGTGGAATCATAACTGTCTTTCTGTGACTGGCTCTTTCACTGAGCATAAAGTCCTCCAGGTTCATAAATATTGTCAATATTGAAAAACGTCGTGCTTTGTAAAGGCTGAATAGTATTTCATTGTATGTGTACACTACGTTTCCTTTATCCATCCATCTGTTGATGAACATTTAGATTGTTTCCACATCATGGCTAATGTGACTAGTGCTGCAATAAACTTGGGAATGCTAATATGTTTTTGATATTTTGATTTCAATTCTTTTAGATAAATATCTACAAATGGGATGCTGGATTATATTGTAGTTCTATTTTTAGTTTTTTGAGAACATTCCATACTGTTTACCAGAGCAGCTGCACTATTTTGCATTCGCATAAGCAGTATGGAAGGGTATTGATTTCTCCACAACCTTGACAACATTTGCTGTGTTTTGTTTTTTTTGATAATAGCTATCCTGAGTGTGAGGTGATATTTCATTGTGATTTTCATTTGCATTTTCCTGGTGATTAGTGACTTTTTTTCACATAGCTGTTGGCCACCTCTATGTCATCTGGTGAGAAAAGTCTTTTCAAATCCTTACCCCTTTTTGTAATTGGATTAATATTGTTTTCCTATTGAGTTGAAGGAGTGTCTTATATATTTTGGAGATAAACCCTTATTCAGATATATGGTTTGCAAATATTTTCTCCCATTCTGTGGGTTGCCTTTTTACTTTTGTTGATTGTTCCCTTTGCTGTGCAGAAGCTTTTTAGTTTGATGCAGTCCCACAATTTATGTTGCCTCTGCTTTTGATGTCATATCCATGAAATCATTGCCAAGACCAATGTCATGAAGTTTTCCCCTATGATTTCTTTAAGAAGTTTACAGTTTGGGGCCCCATTTAACTCTTTAATTCATTTTGAATTGATTTTTGTGTACGGTATATAAAACAAAGGTCCAATTTCATTATTTCTTTTGCATGTGGACATCCAGTTTTCCCAGCACAATTTGTTGAAAACACTATCTTTTTTTTTTTATCTTTTTGTGTATTTGTCACCATTGTTGAAGAACAGTTGAGCATATATTTGTGAATTTATTTTTGGCTTTATATTCTGTTTAATTGGTGTATATGTTGGTCTTTATTATAGTACCATATTATTTTGACCACTGTAGCTTTGTAATATATTTTAAAATTAGCAAGTGTGATTCCTCTAGCATTGTTCTCCTTTCTCAAAATAGGTTTGGCATTTAAAGTAGTCTTTTGTGGTTCCATATGAATTGTAGAATTGTTTTTTTTTTAAGTGTCATTGGAATTTTGATAGAAATTGCATTAAATCTGTAGATTGCTTTGGATAGTATTGCAATTTTAAAATATTAATTCTTCCAATCCATGAACATCAGATGGCTTTCCATTTGTGTCTTCTTTATTTTCTTTCATCAATGTTTTATGGATTTTAGTACATACATTTTTCATTTCCTTAGTTCAGTTTATTTCTAAGTATTTTATTCTTTTGAAAGTTTATTTTTGTATTTTTTTTTCATAGAGATGGGGTCTCTCTATGTTTCCCAGGTTGGTCTCAAACTCTTGGCCTCAAGTGATCCTCCCACCTTGGCCTCCCAAAGTGTTGAGATTACAGGCATGAGCCGCCATGCCCAGCCTATTTTATTATTTTTGGTGCTGTTGTGAGATTGCTTTCCTGAGTTACTTTTCAGATAGTTTATTGTTAGTGTACAGAAACACTACTGATTTTTGTGTGTTGATTTTATATCCTGAAAATATACTGAATTTGCTTATTAGTTCTAATGGTTTTTGGTGGAGACTTTAGGGATTTCAACATATGAGATCATGTCATGTACAAACGGACAATTTTACTTCTCCCTTTTCAATTAGGATGCCGTTTATTTCTTTTTCATCCCTATTTTCTCTGGCTAAGGTTTCCAGTACTATGTTTAATACAAGTGGTTAAAGGAGGTATTCTGATTTTGTTCTTGGTTGTAGAGGAAAAGCTTTCAATTTTTCACCATTGAGTATAATGTTAATTGCAGGCTTTTCATATATGGCCTTAATTATGTTGAGGCACTTCCCTTTTATTCCTTATTTGTTGAGAATTTTTTTTTATCATGAAAGGATGTTAAATTTTGTCAGTGCTTTGTATTTATTGAGATGATCATGTGATTTTTATCGTTTATTCTAATAAGGTGGTATATAACATTAATTGATTTTTGTATGTGGAAGCATCCTCGCATCTCAGAGATAAATACCAGCTGGTCATGGTGTATTATCCCTTAATGTAATATTGGTTTCAGGCTGCTAGTATTCTGTAGAGGATTTCTGCATAGGGGTATTTACCTGTAGTTTTCATTTCTTGTGATGTCTTCACCTGGCTTTGCTACCAGGGTGATGCTGGTAACATAAGTTTGGAAGTGTTCCTCATCAATTTTTTTGAAAGTTTCAGAAGGATTGCAGGATTCTTTAAATGTTTGGTAGAATTCACCTTTCAGTGAAGTCATCTAGTCCTAGGTTTTTCTTTGTAGAGAGGTTTTTGATTACTAATTCAATCTCCATCCCAGTTATAGATCTGTACAGACTTGCCAATTCTTCATTGATTAGTCTTGATAAGCTATATTTTGTAGAAGCGTGTCCATTTTTCTGTTATTTCATTTGTTGGCATATAATTGTTCATAGTAGTTTCTTTTGATCCTCTTTATGTCTGTGGCATCAGTTGTAATATCTACTCCTTCATTTCTGTTTTTATTTGAGTCTTCTCTCTTTTTCATTAATTAATCTAGTTTAAGATTTATCAATTTTATCTTGTCTGATTTATTCTATTGTTTTTCTATTTTCCATTTTTTTTGTTCTTATCTTTGTTATTTCCTCCCTTTTGCTAACTATGTGGATAGTTTGTTCTTCTTTTTCTATCTCCTTGAGGTGTAAAGGTAGTTTCAGGTCATTATAAATATAGGTATTTATCACAATAAACTTCCCTCTTAGTACTGCTTTTACTGTATCCCATAAGTTTCAGTATGATGTGCATTCATTGTGCTTTCATTTTTGTCTTGATGTAGTTTTTACTTTCCTTTTGGATTTCTTCTTGACTCAATTGTTGTTCAAGAGTATCTTGCTTAATCCACATATTTGTAAACTTTTCCATTTTCTTTTTGCTATTGATTTGTAGTTTCACTTCATTTTGTTTAGGAAAAGTATGTGGTATAATTTCAATCTTCTTAAATTTGTTAAGACTTGTTTTATGACCTAACATGTAATCCAACTTGGAGAAAGTTATATGTGTGCTTGAGAAGAATGTATATTCTGTTGTCGGACGGTAGGATATTCTGTGTATGTCTGTTAAGTCCATTTGGTTTATAGTGTTGTAAGCCCTCTCTTTCCTTATTGATCTTCTGTCTGGATATTTTATTTATTATTAAAAGTTGAATACTGCTATTTTTAATGTTTTTTATTTCTCCCTTCAGTTCTGTCAATATTGGCTTTATATATTTAGGTGCTCTAATGTTGAATGCATATATGTTTATAATTTGTTATATCTTTCTAGTGGTTTGACACTTTTATTATAATATAGTGCCCTTCTTTGTTTTTGTGATGGTTTTTGACTTAAAGTCTGTTTTGTCTTATATAGACATAGCTACACCTGCTTTCTTCTGCTTTTCCATTTGCAAAGAGTATCTTTTTCCATCCCTTCACTCTCAGCCTATATGTGTCCTTAAAGCTAAAGTGAGACTCTTACCAACACTGTGCATGTAGGTCTTGCTTTGTTAATCCATTCAGCCACTTTTTTTTGATTGGGAAGTTTAATCCATTTATATCCAAGGTAATATTGATAGGGAAGAATTTATTTTTGCCATTTTAACAAAATTGTTTTCCATTGGTCTCATTTTTTTCCTGTCTTTTTCTCTTTTGCCATCTTCCTTTTTTTGAGTTTTTATATTGATATGCTGTGATTTGTTTTTCCCTCTCTTTTATGTAACTTCTAGGGCTTTATTAGTGTGCTTACCTTGATGTATACATATCTTATAACAGTCTATTTTAAGCTGATAACAACTTAAGCTTAAATGTACACAAAAACTCCACAATTTAACTCCTGTCCTCACACTGTTATTGTTTTCACAATTTGTACCTATTCATATTGTGTACCTTTTAATATATTTTAGTCATACTCATTTTAATACTTTTGTCATTTAAATTTTATACTAGAATTAAAAATTATTTACCCACCACCATTACAGTAATAAAGTATTTGTATTTATATATATGTTGATTTTTACCAGTGAGTTTCATACTTTCTTATGCTATTTTGTTGCTGTTTAGCATCCTTTTATTTCAACTTGAAGAATTTCCTTTAGCATTTCTTTCAAGGCAAGTCTGCTGGTGATGACCTCACTTGGCTTTTATTTGTCCGAGAAAGTCATTATTTTTCTTTTATTTGTAAATGACATTATTGCTTGTATAGTTTTCTTGGTTGACAATTTTCTTTTTCCTTTCAGCATTTTGAATATATCATCCCACTTCCTTCTAGCTTGCAAGATTTCTGCTGAAAAATCTTTTGATATTTCTGTAAGTGTTCCTTAGCAGGTGCCAAGTCACTTTACTTTTGCTGCTTTCAAAATTCTCTTTTTTACTTTTGCCAATTTAATTATAATGTGTCTTGATGTACATTTCCTTAGGGTCACTATTTGGGGTGTTTGGGTTTTTTGCTTCTGAATGTCCATTTCGTTCTCTAGATTTGTGAAGTTTTCAGCCATTATATCTTTGAAAGAGCTGTCTAGTCCTTTCTCTTTATTTTCTGCTTCTTGGACTTACATGATGTATATATTGGTCCATTTGCTGGTATCCCAAAAGTCCCTTAAGCTTTGTTCACTTCTTTTCATTATTTTACATTTTTGCTCTTTTAAGTAAATTTTTAAATACTTGTCTTTAAGGTTGCTGATCAATCCATCTTCACGAGTCTGATCTGCTGTTTAACCCTTCTATTAACAGTAAATTTTTCAGTTACGTTATTGTGTTGTTCAGCTTCATCACCTGTTTAGTACTTTTAAATGTTTTATATCTCCTTGTTTAAATTATCATTTTTTAATGCACTGTACTCTTGACTTCAGTGATCTTCTTTATGATAGTTTTTTTGAAGTATCTGTCAGGTAAATCATATGTTTCATTATGGTCAACTTTTGAAGACTTATCTTGTTCCTTTGTTTGGGACATCTTTCCTAGATTTTTATTTTTTTCTGACTATCAGTTCATGTCTACACGTTAATCAATTCTCCAAATTCACAAACTGGCCTTGTACAGAAGAAGATACTCACCCAATAGCCTAGCTAGAGATTCTGGGAACCTCTACTAACTGTCTTTATTCCCAGGGAGAAGCAGGTAGCTGTGGTTTTGTCTGCTTGCTCTGTGCTGAGCTGGGGAGAAGCTGCAGTGTCTTAACAGTCCAAGCCACTGCTTCTGTTCTCCCCTCAGTGGCTAGCCTGCACCAGGCCCATCAGAATGCCAAGACTGAGAAGTAGAATGTTAATTCTTTGGGGTGCCCCAGAGAAGTTTGAGCAGTAGATGCACAGTTCAACTCTTTCCCTCCCCATGGGGAAACCAAGAGCTGGGATTTTCCCTCTATTTGCTCTGTGCTGAGCAGTAGAAAAGATCTATGACACTTATTAGTCCAAACTCCTATCTCTGTCTTCCTCCAGCTAGCTAGACTATGGCAGATCTGTCAGAGCTCCAAGACTAGTAAAGCAAATGCTCATTCTTTGGGCAGCACCAGAAACGTTGAAGCACTGGAAGCATGGATCAAATCTCTCCCTAAGAGGCTGTCAAGAATTGGGATTTTTCTTTTCCCATCACTCTGTGCTGACCAAGGGGAAAAAAAAATATGGCATCTCTTGCTCAAGCCACCATCTCCATTCTCCCTCACACGGCTAGATTGTGCTAGACTTTTTAGAGTTCCAAGGCAGGCAAGACAGAAGCCAGTCTTCTGGGGATACCCTTGAAAATGGTAAGATACTCGATGCATGAACCTACCTCATTTCTCCCCTGGGAGAAGCCGGGAGGAGGAATTCTCTTTCTGATCATTTGCCTATGTGCTAGGGAGTAGAGATTCTGATAAATGTGTGTCCTGAATCTCTCTACTAGCTTTGATGAGTGGTTTTACACTCACTAATGATACAGGAACATTTCAATTAGTTTCTGGATTTCTCACTAAGGGAATATGCCCATAAATTGTTGCTGAATCATTGTGTTTGTCAAAGGAAGAAGAATCTAGTGCTTCCTGCTCTACCATCTTGCTGACACCACACCAAACATTGTATACCCTTCAAGAGGGTATCATTGCCATGACCTGGGCCTAACCAGTGAGCCACAGAGTAATACCAAGGCATCCAGCATATAATCTTCTGAGAGTTGAACTGTACACAAATGTTACCTGTAACTTTTTTTAATTACTTTTTTTAAAAATCCACAGTTTAATCAGTCATCTTTGATAAATGTTTGATGTTGGAAAGACTGGATTTCTGACAATAAGTATTCATTCTGTTCACCAGCATTGAAGTGATACTTGTTAAAACACAGCCTCTGGGTGAGTTAAAAGGACATAAAGTAGCAGTATACTTAAGGAGCTACTGTATGGCAAGCTGGTCATATGCAGAGCAAGAAGAAGAGATTCTGAAAGGACATTCAGCAATAAAATGTTGGATAAAATGACAGACAGACCACCCTGAAGGAATCTAACACAAATGGATAAAATAACAGATAGACCACCCTGAAGGAATCTAACACAAATACAGGGCAAAGAAGGTCTCTGAAGGCAAAGCTGCCTAGAACAAGGGCAGGTTCTATATTTGTATCTGTAGCCTCAAATCAAGAGAAAGACTGCATACTTTGAATGTGCTTTACAAAAAACTGCTGGTCAAGTTTCAGTCTTCTCAATGGCTGTTCGTCACATAGCAGAGATATCAAATTTGATGAAATGTCATTACTATGAAAATGAAACACACATATATTTACATATACAACTTAAAGCATGTTGATGGTCCATTGAAAAATAGTCCTCAGTCTCAGCTACAAATCCTCAAAATATCAGGGAAGAAATAGCCCTATTAGCAGTTGCTAATAGGTACAATTGCATAGGTTTAAATGACTCCTTAGAAGAGAACAAATAGCACCTCTTCTCACCCCATCAACTCCTCATGTTTTTTATCCATGCAGCAGATGAATCAATCTAAAGTTCACAAGATCATTTTTACTCATGCCTATAAATGAAACAAGATTGGTAAGCACCGGATATGCCAGGGGCCTTCAGTTCCCAATGACTTCCATTGTTAATGAAACCCCCTTTTGTTGCTAAATTTGTAAAGATGTTCTAATAACATTTCAGCAAAATGATTGCTCTAGGGACAGTTTAAGATCTCTTTGTATAAACCAAAGTCATTAGAAACAAATGAAAATGCCCATTTGTTTGTAAAGCGTGAGCTAAAAACACCCCACAGAACCCACAGTTATGAACAGTACAAATGAGTCCTGTGAGACTCTTGATATTAGGATTACAAGGAGAGGGCCCCTCCTAGTGAACATGGAAATTGTTTATAAGAATGTGAATATTCCCACAGTCATTTCTCTTTAAACACTGCTTGAGAATTAAATTCTTTAATAGAATTTTATTATCTGGGAAGGAAAACTGTGTTTGTTTTTCTCTAGGTACGGTATACATGATAAACATGAACAATGAGTTAGCCTCTCCTAGCTACCCTCATACAAGATGAATCCCGGGGTAATGCTTAGCCAAAATAAAATACCTTCATCTTTTTTAGGATACTGACATTACAGAAATTATTACCTAATTAGAGTAACTTGTTTGATAGTTTATTCCATTCTCATTTTAAATAGGATTGTGACAGAGTTCTTTGTACGATAACACTTTTGAAAGCATAGAAGTTCAGTGTATCATTGTGAAATAATTTACTTTCATATTTTACTGATATATTTAACTTTGTTATCTTACTCAAAGCAAATGCTTTAGAAGTAAAAGTGAAAAAATTAAGTAGGTAGAAAAATAAAGACATGCATCTTTCAGGAAAAATGTTTCACCAAGTTAAATAATAATGATGGCTGCCTTAGTCTGAACAGCTATGACAAAGTACCATATACTGGGAGGCTTATAAACAATAGAAATTTATTTCTCACAGCACTGGAGGCTATGTCTGAGACTAGGGTAACAGCATGGTCAGGTTCTTGAGAGGACCTCCTGCCAGGTTGTAGACTGCTGACTTCTTGCATTCTCACGTGGCAGAAACAGGGCTAAAAAACAATCTGGGGTTTCTTTCATGAGGTCTTTAATCACATTGTGAGGGCTTCAGCATCACAAACTGTGATTTAGCTCCCAAAGACCCTACTTCCTAATACTATCATATTGGGGGTTAGGATTTCAACATACAAATTTGGGAGAAAAATATATTGTTCATTCATAAAAACTGTGGAATGAAAAATATGTCATTCATTCATAAAAACAGTGGAATGAAACTAAATCATAGTGAATTGGTATTTTAGTTATTAAATGAAAAACAGTGAAATGAATTAATAAGATAAATAAGACAGTCTCCAAAGATTTTGCTGTGAATGTTTTCATTGCTTTGCGGTAGAAAATCTGAACTCAACTAATAAATCAACAATAAGGCACTGGTTTAAGTTAACATACAAATAGCAACTGACAATGATATAGATTAATAATTAGTCATATAATAAAATATACCAAAGATAAAGTAGAATGCATATATTAATGAATAATATGTATAATACCATTGCATAAGTTTACAAAAATAACATAATGTGTACGTTCTTAGTAAAAATAGACTGAAAGGACAGACGAGGATCTTAACATCTGCCTCAGGGTTTGGTCATTATAGGTAACTACTCTTTCTTTTCTTAAACTCATATATTTTGGAAATCCTTTAATAACTTTTATAATTAGTTTGGAAATAAGTAAATGTATAATTACATTTGTAAAAATAAATTCTGTTACTGTTAGAAGAAAACACATTCAATATATAAAAATGCTGTTGAATAATATGTAGAGATAAATTTAAAATATCTTACAGAGGAAAATTATACTTGCCAAAGAAAAAAATATTTAAAATACAAATTTTGATACTTATGACATAAGTCTATTTCTAAGCAAGTTTTTGGCAGACCTAATTTGACCAGTAACTGCCTCTAGATCCAGGTAAGTCAAGGTCATTTCTTTGGGCTTCATTTTTTACCCTAATTGGACAGGGATAAACACATGAGTCCTAAAGTCCCTTCTTGCTCTGTGAGTACAAGATTCTTTCATTAGTGATTGTATTAACACTGAAATGTGGATTTAATTATTTTCCAAGACAATGAAAAACATTTCTCAAACCACTAGCCTCTCTAAGAGCACCTCATTCTTTCAGTGGTAGTATACGTGCCATTGATTTAGAGTGAGGCCTAACAATTAATTTATAATTAATTAATTCATTTGAAGGATTGTTTGCCTACTCTAACTGAAAATTAAAACCTCTGGTGGAGGCTTCCTTGAAAATATTCCAAATCTGGAGAGGAGCCAAGATGGCCAAATAGGAACAGCTCCGGTCTACAGCTCCCAGCATGAGCGATGCAGAAGACGGGTGATTTCTGCATTGATGCGTGAACCTTATTACTTTAAGACTTAGATCGAACTCAGAGCTCCATTTCTAAAAAAGAAGTCACTGTTTCAGGCAAAAATTTTCTGATGCTAAGAAGCTATAATTTGATAAAGAAACAAAGGATTGAAAAAGTAAGTGAAGAAGATGGCCGAATAGGAACAGCTCCGGTCTACAGCTCCCAGTGTGAGCGATGCAGAAGACGGGTGATTTCTGCATTTCCATCTGAGGTACCGGGTTCATCTCACTAGGAAGTGCCAGACAGTGGGCGCAGGTCAGTGGGTGCACGCACCGTGCGCGAGCCAAAGCAGGGCGAGGCATTGCCTCACTCGGGAAGCGCAGGGGGTCAGGGAGTTCCCTTTCCTTGTCAAAGAAAGGGGTGACAGACGGCACCTGGAAGATCGGGTCACTCCCACCCGAATACTGTGCTTTTCCGACGGGCTTAAAAAACAGCACACCAGGAGATTGTGTCCCGCACCTGGCTCGGAGGGTCCTACGCCCACGGAGTCTCGCTGATTGCTAGCACAGCAGTCTGAGATCAAACTGCAAGGCGGCAGCGAGGCTGGGGGAGGGGCGTCCACCATTGCCCAGGCTTGCTTAGGTAAACAAAGCAGCAGGGAAGCTGGAACTGGGTGGAGCCCACCACAGCTCAAGGAGGCCTGCCTGCCTCTGTAGGCTCCACCTCTGGGGGGCAGGGCACAGACAAACAAAAAGACAGCAGTAACCTCTACAGACTTAAGTGTCCCTGTCTGACAGCTTTGAAGAGAGCAGTGGTTCTCCCAGCACGCAGCTGGAGATCTGAGAACGGGCAGACTGCCTCCTCAAGTGGGTCCCTGACTGCTGACCCCCCGAGCAGCCTAAATGGGAGGCACCCCCTAGCAGGGGCAGACTGACACCTCACACGGCCGGGTACTCCAACAGACCTGCAGCTGAGGGTCCTGTCTGTTAGAAGGAAAACTAACAAACAGAAAGGACATCCACACCAAAAACCCATCTGTACATCACCATCATCAAAGACCAAAAGTAGATAAAACCACAAAGATGGGGAAAAAACAGAGCAGAAAAACTGGAAACTCTAAAAAGCAGAGCGCCTCTCCTCCTCCAAAGGAACGCAGTTCCTCACCAGCAACGGAACAAAGCTGGACGGAGAATGACTTTGATGAGCTGAGAGAAGGCTTCAGATGATCAAATTACTCCGAGCTACGGGAGGACATTCAAACCAAAGGCAAAGAAGTTTAAAACTTTGAAAAAAGTTTAGAAGAATGTATAACTAGAATAACCAATACAGAGAAGTGCTTAAAGGAGCTGATGGAGCTGAAAACCAAGGCTCGAGAACTACGTGAAGAATGCAGAAGCCTCAGGAGCCGATGCAATCAACTGGAAGAAAGGGTATCAGCGATGGAAGATGAAATGAATGAAATGAAGCGAGAAAGGAAGTTTAGAGAAAAAAGAATAAAAAGAAATGAGCAAAGCCTCCAAGAAATATGGGACTATGTGAAAAGACCAAATCTACGTCTGATTGGTGTACCTGAAAGTGATGGGGAGAATGGAACCAAGTTGGAAAACACTCTGCAGGATATTATCCAGGAGAACTTCCCCAATCTAGCAAGGCAGGCCAACATTCAGATTCAGGAAATACAGAGAATGCCACAAAGATACTCCTCGAGAAGAGCAACTCCAAGACACATAATTGTCAGATTCACCAAAGTTGAAATGAAGGAAAAAATGTTAAGGGCAGCCAGAGAGGAAGGTCGGGTTACCCTCAAAGGGAAGCCCATCAGATTAACAGCAGATCTCTCAGCAGAAACCCTACAAGCCAGAAGAGAGAGGGGGCCAATATTCAACATTCTTAAAGAAAAGAATTTTCAACCCAGAATTTCATATCTAGCCAAACTAAGCTTCATAAGTGAAGGAGAAATAAAATACTTTACAGACAAGCAAATGCTGAGAGATTTTGTCACCACCAGGCCTGCCCTAAAAGAGCTCCTGAAGGAAGCACTAAACATGGAATGGAACGACCGGTACCAGCCGCTGCAAAATCATGCCAAAATGTAAAGACCATCGAGACTAGGAAGAAACTGCATCAACTAATAAGCAAAATCACCAGCTAACATCATAATGACAGGATCAAATTCACACATAACAATATTAACTTTAAATGTAAATGGACTAAATGCTCCAATTAAAAGACACAGACTGGCAAATTGGATAAAGAGTCAAGACCCATCAGTGTGCTGTATTCAGGAAACCCATCTCACGTGCAGAGACAAACATAGGCTCAAAATAAAGGGATGGAAGAAGATCTACCAAGCAAATGGAAAACAAAAAAAGGCAGGGGTTGCAATCCTAGTCTCTGATAAAACAGACTTTCAACCAACAAAGATCAAAAGAGACAAAGAAGGCCATTACATAATGGTAAAGGGATCAATTCAACAAGAAGAGCTAACTATCCTAAATATATATGCACCCAATACAGGAGCACCCAGATTCATAAAGCAAGTCCTGAGTGACCTACAAAGAGACTTAGACTCCCACACATTAATAATGGGAGACTTTAACACCCCACTGTCAACATTAGACAGATCAACGAGACAGAAAGTCAACAAGGATACCCAGGAATTGAACTCAGCTCTGCACCAAGCGGACCTAATAGACATCTACAGAACTCTCCACCCCAAATCGACAGAATATACATTTTTTTCAGCACCACACCACACCTATTCCAAAACGGACCACATACTTGGAAGTAAAGCTCTCCTCAGCAAATGTAAAAGAACAGAAATTATAACAAACTATCTCTCAGACCACAGTGCAATCAAACTAGAACTCAGGATTAAGAATCTCACTCAAAACCACTCAACTACATGGAAACTGAACAACCTGCTCCTGAATGACTACTGGGTACATAACACAATGAAGGCAGAAATAAAGGTGTTCTTTGAAACCAACAAGAACAAAGACACAACATACCAGAATCTCTGGGACGCATTCAAAGCAGTGTGTAGAGGCAAATTTATAGCACTACATGCCCACAAGAGAAAGCAGGAAAGATCCAAAATTGACACCCTAACATCACAATTAAAAGAACTAGAAAAGCAACAGCAAACACATTCAAAAGCTAGCAGAAGGCAAGAAATAACTAAAATCAGAGCAGAACTGAAGGACATAGAGACACAAAAAACCCTTCAAAAAATTAATGAATCCAGGAGCTGGTTTTTTGAAAGGATCAACAAAATTGATAGACCGCTAGCAAGACTAATAAAGAAAAAAAGAGAAAAGAATCAAATAGATGCAATAAAAGATGATAAAGGGGATATCACCACCAATCCCACAGAAATACAAACTACCATCAGAGAATATTACAAACACCTCTATGCAAATAAACTAGAAAATCTAGAAGAAATGGATAAATGCCTCGACACAAACACTCTCCCAAGACTAAACCAGGAAGAAGTTGAATCTCTGAATAGACCAATAACAGGATCTGAAATTGTGGCAATAATCAATAGCTTACCAACCAAAAAGAGTCCGGGACCAGATGGATTCACAGCCGAATTCTACCAGAGGTACAAGGAGGAACTGGTACCATTCCTTCTGAAACTATTCCAATCAATAGAAAAAGAGGGAATCCTCCCTAACTCATTTATGAGGCCAGCATCATCCTGATACCAAAGCCTGGCAGAGACACAACCAAAAAAGAGAATTTTAGACCAATATCCTTGATGAACATTGATGCAAAAATCCTCAATAAAATACTGGCAAAACGAATCCAGCAGCACATCAAAAAGCTTATCCACCATGATCAAGTGGGCTTCATCCCTGGGATGCAAGGCTGGTTCAATATATGCAAATCAATAAATGTAATCCAGCATATAAATAGAACCAAAGACAAAAACCACATGATTGTCTCAATAGATGCAGAAAAGGCCTTTGACAAAATTCAACAACTCTTCATGCTAAAAACTTTCAATAAATTAGGTATTGATGGGACGTACTTCAAAATAATAAGAGCTATCTATGACAGACCCATAGCCAATATCATACTGAATGGGCAAAAACTGGAAGCATTCCCTTTGAAAACTGGCACAAGACAGGGATGCCCTCTCTCACCACTCCTATTCAACATAGTGTTGGAAGTTCTGGCCAGGGCAATTAGGCAGGAGAAGGAAATAAAGGGTATTCAATTAGGAAAAGAGGAAGTCAAATTGTCCCTGTTTGCAGACAACATGATTGTATATCTAGAAAACCCCATTGTCTCAGCCCAAAATCTCCTTAAGCTGATAAGCAACTTCAGCAAAGTCTCAGGATACAAAATCAATGTACAAAAATCACAAGCATTCTTATACAACAACAACAGACAAACAGAGAGCCAAATCATGAGTGAACTCCCATTCACAATTGCTTCAAAGAGAATAAAATACCTAGGAATCCAACTTACAAGGGATCTGAAGGACCTCTTCAAGGAGAACTACAAACCACTGCTCAATGAAATAAAAGAGGATACAAACACATGGAAGAACATTCCATGCTCATGGGTAGGAAGAATCAATATCATGAAAATGGCCATACTGCCCAAGGTAATTTACAGATTCAATGCCATCCCCATCAAGCTACCAATGACTTTCTTCACAGAATTGGAAAAAACTACTTTAAAGTTCATATGGAACCAAAAAAGAGCCCACATCGCCAAGTCAATCCTAAGCCAAAAGAACAAAGCTGGAGGCATCATGCTACCTGACTTCAAACTATACTACAAGGCTACAGTAACCAAAAGAGCATGGTACTGGTACCAAAACAGAGATATAGATCAATGGAACAGAACAGAGCCCTCAGAAATAATGCTGCATATCTACAACTATCTGGTCTTTGACAAACCTGAGAAAAACAAGCAATGGGGAAAGGATTCCCTATTTAATAAATGGTGCTGGGAAAACTGGCTAGCCATATGTAGAAAGCTGAAACTGGATCCCTTCCTTACACCTTATACAAAAATCAATTCAAGATGGATTAAAGACTTAAACGTTAGACCTAAAACCATAAAAACCCTAGAAGAAAACCTAGGCATTACCATTCAGGACATAGGCACGGGCAAGGACTTCATGTCTAAAACACCAAAAGCAATGGCAACAAAAGCCACAATTGACAAATGGGATCTCATTAAACTAAAGAGCTTCTACACAGCAAAAGAAACTACCATCAGAGTGAACAGGCAACCTACAGAATGGGAGAAAATTTTCGCAACCTACTCATCTGACAAAGGGCTAATATCCAGAATCTACAATGAACTCAAACAAATTTACAAGAAAAAAACAAGCAACCCCATCAAAAAGTAGGCAAAGGACATGAACAGACACTTCTCAAAAGAAGACATTTATGCAGCCAAAAAACACATGAAAAAATGCTCACCATCACTGGCCATCAAAGAAATGCAAATCAAAACCACAATGAGATACCATCTCACACCAGTTAGAATGGCAATCATTAAAAAGTCAGGAAACAACAGGTGCTGGAGAGGATGTGGAGAAATAGGAACACTTTTACACTGTTGGTGGGACTGTAAACTAGTTCAACCATTGTGGAAGTCAGTGTGGCGATTCCTCAGGGATCTAGAACTAGAAATACCATTTGATCCAGCCATCCCATTACTGGGTATATACCCAAAGGACTATAAATCATGCTGCTATAAAGACACATGCACATGTATGTTTATTGTGTCATTATTCACAACAGCAAAGACTTGGAACCAACCCAAAGGTCCATCAATGATAGACTGGATTAAGAAAATGTGGCACATATACACCATGGAATACTATGCAGCCATAAAAAATGATGAGTTCATGTCCTTTGTAGGGACATGGATGAAATTGGAAATCATCATTCTCAGTAAACTATCACAAGAACAAAAAACCAAACACCGCATATTCTCACTCATAGGTGGGAATTGAACAATGAGAACACATGGACACAGGAGGGGGAACATCACACTCTGGGGACTGTTGTGGGTTGGGGGGAGGGGGGAGGGATAGCACTGGGAGATATACCTAATGCTAGATGACGAGTTAGTGGTTGCAGCGTACCAGCATGGCACATGTATACATATGTAAGTAACGTGCACATTGTGCACATGTACCCTAAAACTTAAAGTATAATAATAATAAATTAACAATTAAAAAAAAAGATGTTTTCCCTCTGAAACTAGCATCCAATTAAAACTCATGCATTGGTTAAAAAAAAAAAAAAGAAAATATTCCAAATCTTGTTCTGCCTTACAAATGCTTACACCCTTACCTCTATGGGGATAGGAAATTCATGACTTTGAAATAGCAAACTGAAAAATAACCTGCATTTACAAAGTTTGACCTTGTTCATAGTGTCCTCTATTCTCATTTCTTTCTATTCTCATTCTTTAGCCTCTTGTCTGCTGCTAATGAAGCCACTGTGAATAGAACCTAATGCTGTTTAGAAGGAATGGGCAACTTTTTGTGCCTATGTGTCAGTTTCCCCTTCTGGAAAATGGGGATAATAATTCCTTACAGGGCTGTTACAATGATTAAATGAGATGTCTGTCCAGTGCTTAGCACAGGGCCTAGTGTATATAAAGGGTTTGGCAGGGGCTTTATCTCCACAATGTGCACTGCCCAGTTCTGGGAAAATAGCAAATTGTTCTCAATATTTGATAATGACACTCCTCCTCCTCATTATTTTTATTATTATTGAAATGGAATAACAACCATCTTTCCCAAATGAGTAATGGAATTTTTAAAAAGCAGTAGTAAAAATAAGAATCTCACTGAAAGTGAATGAGTAATTTATTGAAAAACATGATTGATAATATGTCTCAAGTTTAAAGCATTATAATAAAATACACTTTTATAATCCCACCTAACTTTACTAGTATACTTGTCAATCAAATATAGTACCACTAAATTCATAAAAACCCTGGCAACCAGGAAGAATATGGTTTCTAGAAATCTCTACAATGCCCCCTAGCAAAGAGGATACAGAATCCCAAGTGAAACGCATAGTCAGTGATGGGTGGAAAGATCACTAGGAAGCAATGCTGTTTGCTAGGCACCTTTCATGCTGAAGCTAGGGTGGTTCTGTTTCTAGGGAGCTTTCTCACTTGTGCCTAAACAGCATTTGCATTCCCACTGAACCTTAAGTATAACCAAAAGAAATAGGAAAATCTCGAAACAAAGGAAAAGGTAGTCCAAAAAACAGTCTGCAATGGCCCTGTGAAATTCAAAAGAATAGCATTGGAGAAACCTGGTGGAGAACAGAATAAATGTATTTAAAATTATCTGAATATGTTCTAAAATGATATTCAGTACTTCTTAATATTTTAATTTTGCATGTTTGCAAAGAGGCATATGCAGCTCTTTCTATATGAAAAGAAAGAGACTTGCTGGTGGGGGACAAGGGATCTTAACTCTTAACAGCCTAAATCTATCAAAAGATTACTCTTTAAAGTAACTGCACTCCTTTCAAGTGGCTTTTAAAATTAAGGTAAATGTACTTTGAAAGGGACACTCACTTGATCTAAGTTTAAGTAATATATATGAAATTACTTTTTAAAGGTTTAAGTTCCATATATAAAATTGCTATTAATTCTGCAGAAATAAAATTGGATAGTCAGAAAGAGGGATGATGAACGTTAAGTAGCTGGGCTATAAGATCACTTTATAAAATATAATTGCCAAAGCACAAAAACATAAGAAACTGAGTGGCCCAGATAACATTAAAAAGAAAAGGTCAAAAAGGAGACATCAAAGGAAAAGTAAAAAGACAGAAACAACACAAGTGAGAAATGCACAGAGGCCAAAAAATTCATTGTGAATGACAAAGGCAAGAATGATAAAGACCTACAAAAAGGTAAAGAAAAAAAGCAAATAGAGGAAAATTCGTGACTTGTCTAGTTTTTTTTTTTTTTTTGGTCCAATGTTAAACACATCCTACTGAAAAGCCTAAATGCTGGGTATTTAAGAACCCTTATGATTTTCTTGCAATATATCCAGCACCAATTATACCTAAAAGAGTTAAAAAATGCTTTATAGGTAGAAAAATTAAGATATCTATGATGACTCAGTCTAAAACACTGAACAGCAGGCTGCCAATATAAATAGCTCTAAGAGCATAACATAATTTAATACTTAAGAGGTATACAATTGTAGTAGAAGTTGTGAAATGGCTGATAAATTGCCCTATTTATAGACTCCAGTGTTTGTTAAAGATGAGAAATTGTATCCTGATAATCGCCTGCCTCTTATCCTTGGCTTTTCAACTCATCTGCTCCATCCTGACTATGAATATTTAAACTGCTTCTTCACTCAGCTCTGGTCAGGGCACTGTAAATCTAAGTACCTGCTATCATATAAAGCCTAACTATAGAAACAAAAATTAATGGTGTTGTCTGAATCACAGTAATTGGGAATTAGCACTTTAGCTTAACTTCTTAAGATGAAAGATAAATTATAAGAATGAAACATTAGTTACCATAGCAAATACACAAGCACTGTCCTCATTCAAATCACGACCCAGGTCTGAGTGTCTATGAAAGCCCCACTGGATTATATTAGGCTACATCTCGACAAATAACATTTGTTGCTCAGGATGATTTATAGCAATTGTCATCATCTTTTGTATTCTTCACAGAAATGTTGAAAAATTACACAGATTTATCTTATCCATCAACGTACTACTTCCAAAAATGTGAGGAATCAGTGCAAATGTGGTTTACCTTAATCTCTAATGAACTGTCAAGGACACTGAGATTAACAAGGCTGATTCCTCAGACTGGGAAGAATTGATTATTGCCATTTTGTTGAGTTTTTTGGCATAACCATAAAGCTGTCTTGAGTAGAAGAACAATAATACATTTTTCTCAATTAAAAGTTTCCCAACCAAAAATGGATTTTATTTTGGCCAAAACAAATTTTGCTACTTGTGTGCGTGTTTATGTGTATTGCTCAAAATACAATTCTCTAGGCCTTTAATTGACAGTTGTATTTAATTGATTCATCATATTAAAAAATGCTGTACTTTTTAAAAAGAGAAATTTTCTTATTCACATCCAAGCCGAGATGTTCTATGATTTTGCTGAAATGTATTTTGAGCTTCCTGTTTTCTTTTTACGTGAAAAGCAGTGAAATGCATTATGAATTTCATATATATGTGTATTTTAAGGAATACTGATATAATTAAATTTGACAAAGGATACTCACTTAAATAGTTAAGAATCTAGTCCTATTTTATGAAGTAACAGAAAATTATTGAAAACAAAACAAAATAACCTAGCTTCTGGCAAAAAGGAGGATGGCATAATTGAATGAAAAAGTTACAAATTAGGCAAAAAGGGGCATTTTGCATTGTGAGATGGTATACCTGAGAAATAGATTTTAAAAGAGTTGACATGGTTTATTATTTTGTGAAAAATTGAAATATTTAAGGTGTATACATGCATATATACATGTAATTGGTTATGGTATTACATATGTCTGAAGAAAATGAGTAAACAGTACATGTTGAATGCCTGCTCTGTATATCTCAGGATGAAATAATATTTATATATGAAAATTAAATATAATATCCTATTAAATAGGATAAAATAAGGTTTATTTATATATGAAAATTAAATATAAGTCACTTTATTTTTTTCTATTTGATTTCATAATTATAAGTGGAATCTCAAGTCATTAGAAAGAAAAAAATGAAGGAACTCTAATAGTTAGAAGTAAAGAGATCCTGAAAAATAAGTATGGGTAGGTTTTTTTTTTTTTTGCTATGAATTTTAGGGAAATTTCCATATATTATTCTATTTCATTGAATGGATCACTCCCATGATTTTTTCCCTATACAGTTAAAAATAATATTATAATGGCTGATGATTATAATTTTATCTTAATTTTGTGAGCAACAAGAAGAAACTGCATCCTCAGTATTTTTATTCCTCCTTTTCTTAATGTAAATCTTAAGTAAAAATAAGGATGAAGTTTGTTAAAGTGAAAAATTTAATTTGCAATACCTCCCTGATATTCCATCAAACAAAGGAAAAAAATCAAAACTACTGATTATACATCAAGGCTTGAATATAAGGCAGAGACTGAAGGTGTGTGCATTAGTTTTCTAGAGCTGCCAAATAAATTACCATAAACTTGGTGGCTTGAAATCACAGAAATTTATTCTCTCGCTGGTCTGAGAGCAGAAGTTCAAAACCATGGTGGGTTTATCCTGAAGACTCTAAGGGAAAATATACCCATGCCTCTCTCCAGCTTCTAATGGCTCCAGCAATTCTTGGCGCTCCTCTGTCTTTACATGACTTACTCCCGGTATCTCTCTCTGACTACTTTTCCCCTATAGGGACACTCATCACCAGATTTAGAGATTTCGCTAAATCTAGGATGATCTCATACTGAGATCCGTAACTTTTTACATCTGCAACAATCCTACTTCTAAATAAAATCACATTTACATGTGGGGATTAGGATTTGAAGGCATCTTTTGGAGGCCACTATTCAACCCACAGATGTATGTGGGTGTGCTTTAATTTTGCTGTTACTGCCAAGAATTTCTGAACGATGAAAGTTCTAATTTTCCTACTTTTCAAATACTTTATATATATGTATATATATATATTCATTATATATACATAAAATGAAACAATATTGATGCTTCCATATTTTACCATATTTTTCACAATGTTAAATTGTTACCACAGTATCATTAGAAGACTAACATAAATTATTTTCATTTTTATTTTGAAATAGAGTGAATTATATGTATAGAATCAGTCTTAAGCCTTAATCACAAGGGGAAAAAGTAAACAAAAAGGAAATATTAGTGTTGTTGAAGGACTCCCCTTACTGATAATATGAATGCTTATATTACATTAGGAAAATGTGAAGGAAATCTCTTCTTTGTAGTGGTTGGCAATGATTGCAATGAGTTTTATACGCAATCTGTCAGTATAACATACTCACTGTGTCTTAGTACAAATATTTTGGAATCTGCAAATTTTTTTGGCTACTCAGCCAACAAAATTCCAGTTTAGCAAATAATAATGCTTATTATTATAAGTTTAATAAGCGTTGTTCTTAGTTGCCCATGTGAATCTATATTCACTGAGCACTTGTACTGTAATAAACAGTTGGGCTATTAAAATAGAGCTATTCTACAACTAATCAATAGGCATATATCTTTTGATAGAAGACACAGAAGTGTCTGAAAGCAGTATAATTTTAGGCAAACAATACTAGCACAATAAGAAAATTACTATTGGCAGTAATGGGGGAGATCCAATTATACTGCAAAGAAAAAAATTAAATCACATCACCTTCAAAAAAGCATACTTATGTAAAAATTAAGATACTTTGAAAAAATAACTATTGACTATGTGCCTCTATGCATGGCTAGTAATATAATTTTTTAAAAAAGTAAAATGTCATGAAAAAGACCAAAGTGTTAGGAAAAGGAATACAAGTGTATGATTATTTCTGCATTTTAAATTAGAATATAAAGTCGTTAATGCATTTAGATTAGAAACTAAATGTGACTATAAGAAAATGAATAGAAATATGCACTCACTGGAGTTATATTAGCTGTAGAAGCAATTAAAGTCCCTGCTATATAAAAACTAAATTAAAAATACAACCAGATTAGTTAGTCCCTCAAGTAGGTCATTAAGTCAAACATTTATCTCATGATGGACTGAACTGAGTTGGCATGTATTAAATTCTCTAAATAGCAAGGAATAGTGGTATTTTCAGTGTGATTTTAGAAAAGCTTAGTTGAAAAGAAGGATAAAAAGTTCTTGTCTATATTCAGGTATAACCACTATTTAAGTTAATTGTAATATATGAAGACCTGTAATTATACAAATAATAAACCAGGTAGCAATTCCTGTCTATGAAAAGGATTTTCATTTTGACAAAAGAATTCACAATAGGATAAATTCAGATAGCAAGTACACTCACTACATTTCATATATTATTTTTCTTCTATATAGCTTTTCCAAAACACTTGTTTGGTGACATATTCTGATGTTAGAATAGAGATCCTCTAAAGCTTTGATGAAGGAGCATAATCAACTTACTGGGATTTTTGCTCCTCTCAGCAAATAAAAACAAAACAAACTGATTAAATTAAAAATTAGCTTGCAAAATTTTTAGAGGATGTTCTTGTTTCAGTACGGATTCTGCCCAATCAGCTAAACTTTTTGAAAGTATCAAGAATCTAATCTTGAGAAAAGATGTTGTGAAGGAAGCTCATTTTTACACACTGTTGTTTCCACTTAACACCTCCTTTCCTTCTTAGTCTAAAGAATGTGCATCTCTCCTGTAGACCCCAGTTCAGTTGCCATTCTGCAGGGAAGTGAACTTTTTACTGACAGGTCAAATTGTCCTTCTCCTATAAACCTTCCATCTGGCTTCTCATCACAGTTAAAATACTACATTATTTGTATTACATCTGACGTCTGATTAGCATTGGTCTACCCCATTAGATTGTAAGGTAGGAGGCATGTTCTTTTGTTCATCATTGGATCCCTGGTGACTTTCAGCATGATGGCTGGAACATGGCAGAGGCTCAGTATGTTTTACATCTGAATCAAGTACTGTAAGAGTTTGAACTAATACTGGTTAAAACAAGTAAACTTATAACTATGGAAGAAATATGCAATAGCATCTTATTTTAGAAAAGTTAAAAGTCCAGTCGATCCCAGCACTTTGACAGACTAAGGCAGGAGGATTGCTTGAGACCAGGAGTTTAGGACCAGCAAGCCTGGGCAATATAGTGAGACCCTGTCTCAAAAAAAAAAAAAAATTAGCCAGGTGTGGTGGTGTGGGGCTGTAGGCCTAGATATATTGGGATGCTGAAGTGGGAGTGTTACTTGAGCCTAGGAGTTTGAGGGTGAAGTAACTTATGACAGTGCCACTGCACTTGGATAATAGAACGAGATCTCGTTTTTTTAAAAAAAGAAAGTCAAGTTGACTATTAACCAGACATGCCATTACCCATATGTAGACTGGTGAATCTGGTCCTACAATATTGCAACTGTCCACAATGAGGGATGGAGCATATTAAATATTTTATTTTTCAACCTTAAAGAACTATGAAGGAATAAATTGAAAATGAGGTGTCAATAGTAATGATGATTTTGATGATAACTGTGAATGCCAGAAGTGCCCATACCATTTTCTTCTTTAAAGACTCTTATGACCAATCTCTAAGTTTCTGTGCTAGGACTCTGCAGGCAAAAATTCACAATGAACTGAATAGCTATAACTACTGATATATAAAATTCCTATGGCAGAAAGGTGAAGGAAGGAAGATGATTATCCTTAAAGTTATTTTTCTAAGCATATGATGCAACAAAAAAAGTGCCCTGAAGTTTTATATTGAGTGAGTGTGAAATTTTGAACTTTTAGAGCTGATATAAGCACTGGAAATTTGGGGGCAATCTCCTTACTTCAGAAATACAGTTGAGATTTTGAGAAGTTAACTGACTTGTCTAAAGCCACAACCGTTTAATGACAAAGGACAAGCTAATTCCTAAGCCCAGCTCATTGGAAGGGCGGGCAGCCCTGTTCTTTTTGCTATTCCATACAAACTCCTTGCTGTATTCACTGGTCTACAAAATGTCTATGCTGGTTACAGCACTAGAGTGGCAGGTCTGACTTTAGCCTATGAAAATTTAGAGTGGAACAGTTTTATAATAAGAAAAAGAAAAATAGTGGTATAAAGAACTGAGGAAATAGGACCACACCAACTTGGAAACATAAACAGTAAGTTCGGATCTATGTTTTGGAGAAAGAAAACATGAGGTTTCTGGACGAGATATACACAGACCATAGTGAAAAGAGCCTTTTGTCCCTCCACCTTTATGTTCTCACATAAGAAAAGCAAACATTGATGAGAAGGATCAGACATAAAGGAACACAGTTATCTGGAGCTCTCTACACTATGAGATAAAGTGAGTTCTGGTGGACAAAGGGACATTTGCCATGAATAGCAACTGATTAAGAGCAAGGATGAAACAGTTATATTTGCCAGGAGGCCAAGACAGGCACTGTTCTTCAAAATAGGGGAAAAGGGGCAAATGTCCTCCTGCTCCTAATTGAGAATCTCTAAGGTAGCATTTTGTTTTACATTTTATGTCACAGGTCACATCCTTGTAAGACTCAAAACTTATAGAGGGTAGATTGAGCATTGAAGGCATTCAATAAGTGTTACTATCTCTACTGTCCCCACTTAAAATTCACACGACCCACTACCCAAAGATAGTGAAAACAAGTAGAGGGTAACTCTGAAGAACACTAGTGTTTTATAATTTTCTGCAAAGGTTAAGTATTATATAGGCATTCTTTTACATAACTCTCATGACCTGTGTGGTTAGTAATATGATTGCCATTTTGCAGATGAGGAAACTAAAAGACTTTTCCAAGGTTATTTAGGGAAACAACTTCAATTTGATCACAAGTGTCTCAACTCTGAAAACAGTAACCTTTCCCTACACCAGCGATTCCCAAAGTGTGGTACCTATATCAACAGCATCAACATTACCTGGGAACTTGTTAAAAATACAAAACCTTGGGCCTCATTCTACCTACTAAATCAGAAACTCAGAGGGTGGAGCCCAACAAACTGTTTTAATCCCATCTGATGTTTCAGGTGCATGTTCAGGTTCAAAAACCACTGGCTTCTGCCATATAGCACCATGCAACCCATGTACATAAAGCTGTTGCTTACTCACCGAAGTGAGTACTTGAGGTCTGTAGGACAATTTTTATTTATTTATTTTACCATATTTGAACTAATGTATCTTACTGATATATAGTAGTGTAATATACCACAGAACCACATACAACAGTGTTAGGGGGCAGGCAAGCTGGGTAAAGAAGTCCAGCTCTACCACCTATTATCATATAATCTTGGCAAGTTGCATAACCTTTGTAAATTTAGAATTTGGTTTTGGTAAAATAAAAAATAAAAATAGTGAGATAATACACAAAAAGCACTTAGCCAGCACCCATAATGTAGTAAATGCTCAATATAGTAAAGAAAATATAGCTTTATGATCATCATTAAAGACAATACTAGTAATGCTATAATTAATTGAATAAGTAGTGAAGCTCATGTATTATGTATGTTGCAAAGTAGAGATGTGCCTCTACTTAGAATTTTTATTATAGAATTGACTTTTTTTTTCGGTTTCAAAATGAATACTCAATTCATTTCAATTCAATAAACATTTACTATATAACAAGGTGCTGTGTTGTTTCAGGGTATTTTTTTAAGTATAGTGAAGATACCAGTCTTCAATTTATGTTAGGGAATGGACATTATTATCTATTTAGTAATGCTTTTGATTAAATGCTTTAAAACTTTACTTTGTATTGGCTTACAGCTTTAAATTGTGCCCTTTAACAGTATTTAAATACATTATTATGATACATATTTAACTTCTGGTCAAATTTATTACTTAGAGAAAACCCTATAATACCATATTTGATCTCTGTACAGTTAACTGTACAACATTGTGTTTTAACAAAGAGATTTTAAATAACAGTTCATCTGCAGTAATACTATGTACTATTTTTTTTCTACTCAGTGAGACTTAGGCCTATTATTTCTTGCTTATTTGCACCAACCAGTGAAAGAAACCAATTTCTATTCTCTTTATAATGCTTTTATGCATAGAAAAAGGCCATCATCTTTTCTGTGTCTTTTTTTTTTATTTTTTGAGATTTTCAAGTTTCACAAGCTCCTCTCACAGCTCATGTTTTCAAGATCTTTTTATCATTTGCATTGTATCTCCACCAAATGCTTGGCAATTTGTCTCCTTTTTGAAATGTGCTTTTTTGTTGAGCTTAGTCTCCAAATTGCAGCCTAACAAGACCTGAATGTAGCTCAATCCATTTTTATGCATGACATCACCATTGCAATTCAACACACTGTAGCATTTGAATATTTTAACAGGTATTAGAATGTCAACTCAATCAATTTATCATCCACTGTAACTCGTGAATTTTTCTTTCTGCTGCTACCATCTCTAGCTATTCATTGTACTTTTTGGTCCCATTATCCCTCCTTGCAGCACCTTTCACATTCATTCCAGTTTTGTGATTCTGATGTCACTGATTTTACCCATATCCCCAATGTATCAAGATTATGCTGCATAATAGTACAACACCCCCAAATTTGCAATCCCTGCTACTTCTATGACTCACTGTTTTGTAGACATATTAGAATAAATATTTATTTCCCAAGACATTTCATAAATATACTACTACATTACCTCTAGTATTCTTTTCTTAGATGACTTTTGTAAATCACTCTATTTAAGGCTTCAGTTAAACAAATAAAAAGCAAACAAACAAGGATTACTGGTCTATTGCTATAGGGCCATTTAAAAAAAAAAAGTTCTTTCCTTCTTGACTCAATTTGAGATTAAACTCAGCACCAACTACAGGATTGCATTATTGTTTAATTATCAAGCTGTCATCCAAAAAATACAGATTACACCTCTGATCTTCACACACACCTAGCAGCATAGTGGATATTATGTGTCCTCGCTGCAGGAGGTGACTTGTGTTTGCTGGGCACGTCATGTAGTGGGTTAAGCAAATCTTAGTAAACAGAGTTAATTTCACTTAACATGTTTACTTTCCCAGTTACAAAAGAAAGCAAAGCAGAGAATATAAAATAGAATTAATGAAGGAAATGACAAAAGAATCTTGTTTGGCCCAAATTTCATTATTTTACCACAGATAAGTGGCAGAGTTACCAAAACCAAAATGAGCTGATGAATTGTTCAAGTTTACAAGTCAAACGTGACCGCAATTATTAAATTAAACAGCAATGCATGTGGCTTTCTTCTGTCTGCAATTCCCATCTACCCACCTTACATATTCATAGATAGATACCTACCACTGCCTTCAGTCCTGCCCCTATCCACTTAAATCTTACTTATCCTTCATGAATCAGAATGAGATCCCTCCAAGATAGTAATGTTTCCTTTCTTTGTGTTCACACTCTATCTTGTACTTAGTTCTTACTTGAAAATAAAACTGTTTAAAAAACAGTTCCTCTATGAATGTTAAGATCCACTTCTTTGATTTCCAGCTACCAGATGGTACTGAGAATTATTCAAAAAGTATTCTTAAATAAATGAACTATTTTTAAAATAGCATTTTCCCCAACAGCTATATTTCTAAAATTTAGACAGTGATATTAGGCTTGAATGCTTTCTAGAGAAATTATGGTGATGCAATGGTGTGAGTCCAATTTTAATAACATGGTAGAAAAACATGTTTATGTGAGTAGACCCATTAAAGTGTTAAAACAATAATCAGCTCTGAAAAAGGGCACATGTTGATAGCAAGATAAAACAAAAACAAACAAAACACACAAAAACAAAAGGGAAGAGAGAAGACACTATACTTTCTCCATAATATGTTTCATCTTTTTTATATGTATATATGATATGGATTTTAATAAAATTTTGGCTGTATTTATGTTGGATAAATGTTTACTTCCATGGTCTGATTAAACGTGGTAGAATTGAAGGAGGTGGTAAAAATAGCAAAAAAGTTTGTATAACATTTTCAGGTCTAATGAAATAGTTCCCAGAAGACTTAGCAAAAAATCTTGAAAATTTTAAAAATGGGTACAGTTTGGTTCTAGAGAAGACAGATGAAATATTGGATCACTGTCTTCAAATATATGATAGATCAATTGGTAGATGATACTGATAAAATATTTTCCTTTTTAGCTTGTATAAGACCAGAAACAATTAATTTAGAGGGCAAGCAGGAAATGCTACAGGAAGGTGAGGTATTATGAGTTACTAAATAATGTAGTGAAAGATTCCTACAGAGACCTTTCGAACAGAATAGTTACTCTTTGATCTAGTCAGTTAGATATTAAATCTAAACCTAAACAGCTCTTAACAAGACAAATACCAATTCATTCCTAAGTAGGTTATACTGACTGCGGTTCTCTAAGTTTAACCAGTACAAGTGTCTTTCTTTGTTGCTCATGGGATCATCCCTCACATGCATATCAGGAACAACCCCGCTGTTGCACATAAAATGGCATCATCTGTACAAATCAAGCCCTAGCTTCTCTTCCTTCCTAGGAGGAAAGACTCTAGTTATGGGGGCCAAAAACTGGAGAGGAAGGGATATCAGTTGTCCAAAGTGTAAAAAGAAATGGTACATTAATACCCTTGAAAATATAAAGGTACCTTAAGAAGGCTTAAAATACTGTAGGCATAATACCAATAATCTTCGATTATTTTTATGTTTAGTATTCCTTTCATTAACAAGTGACATTTAGCACAGTATTTTTTTCCTTAAAAGTAATTTAATTAAACAATTTTAACCTCATATATTAAAATACTATATTGCAAAATTCTAAGATAAGATACAAGTTTAAGGTCATTGTCAAGGGTCACTGAAAAAGGAAAGATCTTTTTTTCATAACCTTTTATTTTTAGTTTTTAATATTAACATTTGTTATGCTACTTTGTTTATGACATATGCTGGTAATTGTTCTACGAATAAATACCACAACCTTTATAAAGAACCTGAAAGAGTCTGGATTGAATTTCATTATTTTGTTCTTATGAGATAGCAGAGCTTTCAAAACTTGAAATAAGGTGACAACTTAAATATATTTAAAAATAAAGACCTAAATTAATAAAGTTAGCATAAAGTCAATGAAACATTTCAAAGATACCTGTATTGTGACTTTCACACTATTGCCTTGGAAGCTGTGAACCTGACACAAAATGTTGCTGCATGCTTTTGTTTTTCCTTATCTTGTTTTTCTCCAGTTGGTAAATGAAATGCATCCACTGAGACTCTGAAAGCACTATTAAATAATATCAGAAATACAGGATTTGGCTCAGTTTACCTGTTCCTGTTGCTGGAAATCCAATCTGAAATAAGTGTTGATGCCTGTTGGTGACAGTGCTTGTTGCCAAAACTGCAGGCCAGCATTATAACTTCTCTACGTAGTTCTCTAGATATCATCAAAAGGGAAACAAATTAAAAAGAAAGTTAGGGAAATTCATTCCCTAAATAGTAGATAAGTAAATTATTAACATAAAAATGGTTTTTAGATCTGGAAATCCTATGCTGCTGAGTAAAAGTCACTTAGGCAGAGTGGAAGTTAAACATACTAAAAGTTTAACAGTACTCCAGTGAGAGGCATGGGTTCTGATCTCAATATCACCAATAAAGGTAGATCTTAAATTAAAACACAGCAAGGAAACGTCTTTGTTCTCAGGATCAGGCAATGGAAACTGTGCTACCCAGCAGCAGTCCTCTCGGGAAAGTGAAATGTAAGATGAAGAATGAAAGGAAGATTGTCTCATGCAGCTAAAGTCACAATGGCACTAGTAGTACATTATTATACAGCTCTAGGGGTAAAGAAGAGGATAAGAAAATAAAACAGTACTCATGTTGGTAGGATGCTTGAACAAGAGATCCATTAAAATTATTTTTCGGCCACCCAAGCTTGATATATGTTGTTGCAACTTGCTTTAAAATATATTCCTAAATGGGGTATAGAATAAATAAAGATAAGGTCAGTTTAAAACTTCTGTATGCTGACAATTAAAATTCTGTAATAAAATTAAAATATTCTTAAAATGTACCTACTTTCAAATATCCATAAAATTATAAGTACAGTAATGTTCTATTATAATTTTATTTAATTTAGTATTTCATATATAGAAAAGAGGGATAAAATGCTATTGGAATGGTACAAGTCTACTCTTCCTATTAAATCACTAAGTAATTTGCATGAGTAAATATTTTAGATGATGACTTTTGTAACAAAATGAGGAAAACAAAGAATATTGATAACACCTATGCGTACATATGTACAAATGTATATAGATATACTATATGAAAATGGACATCTAATATTTACGCATTTTATATCAACAAGGCATATTTAATGCAAAACTACTATGTTGGCCCAACCAATGGCCTAGTATTGATGAAGCTGAGATACACAGAACTCTTCAGTGTAATTATAATGATATTTCAAAGTCAACAATTCATTCAGCTAATGACACATTTAAGTGTCAGTATCAAGGTAAGGCATGCTCTCCCTCACTATTTTTTGTTTTTTTAGACAGGGTCTCCACTCTGTTGCTCAGGCTGGAGTACAGTGGCAACAACCACGGCTCACTGCATCCTCCGCCTCTCAGATTCAAGCCATCCTCCCACCTCAGCCTCATGAGCAGCTGGGAATACAGGCACAAGCCACTACACCCAGTTAATTTTTGTATTTCTTTTTTTTTTTTTTTTTTTTTTTGTAGAGATGGGTTTCACCATGTTGCCCAGGTTGGCTCTCCCTCACTTTAATGTGCTTCTTGAATTTTGCCAAGGAATACAAACAATGAAATTACAATAAAAATGATTCTTAACTGTTTACTGAAAACAAGGAATCTGACATGATACGCTATTCTAATGTACAAATATATTCAAAAATATATTTTACTTTTACAAAGGTTTAATATTGCAGTGTCTTTGTGTTAGGGAGAAATTAATGTGTAATCTTTCTCTAGCAAGTAAAAAATTGTATCATAACTGTAATGACCCATTTGTTTGCATGTCTGTTCTAAGGGCTTAGACAAAACTAACAATGAACGTAATTATTCCCATTTTTTAAAAAAAATCATTAAACAGTTTATTTTCTGTAGGTTTAAAGTAAAAATAAAAAGGAAGGAATTCTGATGGGCATCAGAAATCAGATGGCTCCAATAAAAAGATTCATGTCACAGGAATCCACTTTTCAGTAATCCCAAATGTGTATGTTAATTAGTACAGTATAAAAAATAAGATAATTTTATAAAACACAGGGCAGGCTCTTACGCTAACTAAAGGAAAACAAATAGTGTTCAAACATCATGGAAGGCACAGTGATAAGAAATTTAAGAATCAAAAGGCTCATGAGCAGTACTTAATCCTAATATTATTGAAAATGATTATTAAATCAGATTAGGTGGCATGAGCAGTGTAATTTTGGTTTACTAGGTTTTGAGTTCAGAAAATCTGGTCAGGTAACATTTTGGAATGTTTGTCATGTCTTCTTGTCTCTTTGGATTGTCTGTTGTTTGCTTTCCTGTATCCCCTTGGACCCAATTACGAATGGGCTTTTGCCTCAATGTTGATCTTATCCTTGTTAATTAAGGCAGTGAATTGAATTCAGTATGCCCTTTTGGATAAAAATAATGACTAAGAATCATTACTGAAAATGCCTATATTCTGTTAAGATCTTTGGGATCTTTCTACCCAGGTTAAGTCCTTTGTGAACACAGAGCCCTCTAACTCTTGGAAAGTAAGTTTGAACTTTAAAAATTTGCCATGTATATTTCTTCTTAAATTCTGAAGCATTTAAGCTTAATTGACACTTTTAGGTCAGCATTTTGTATTAAATTTCTTCTTCAAATAATTGTCATCTGTGTTGCATAGACAATCAGGACAAAAATCGGGATAACACAAACTAGAAGAACAAACTAAAATAACTTGGCATCAGTTGCATATATAATAGTAGAAAGAGAATAAAATAGTGTATCTTCTAAAAATTAGAAAGAAAAATTATATCTTTTTACATTGAAAATGTTGTAGTTTTCCATGCGGTCCAGTAATTTATCTAGAGGATAAAGAGCTCGGCTGGCAGCATGCCAAGGAAGAAAATCCTTCTCCTCAGACAGGTATCTGATAATCTCCAGAGGAATATTCTGAGGCAAATAGCCAGCCCTACAGTTAAAAAAAAAAAAAGATACATGATGATGCACAAACGAAGATTTTTACTTACGCAAATAAAAGACGGAAAAGCAAAATTCATCATAGTATAAAGAAAGCATATTCAGTGTTATAAGAATAAAATTACTCACTTTTAAAATATAGTCATACTTAGGATGCCAGTGCCACCTTAATATATGCAGAGTTGGACAGTTAAAAATTTACGAATACAAAAACATCAGAACGCATATTTTTTTAAAAGTAAGGAATTATGGAACATAAGCAAAACCGAGCCTAGGTATGTTCCTTCACAGAAACTCTTCAGAGGTTAACAAGCAATTGAAAATAATTGATCACTGAAATGTAATTTCAGTTTCTCCATGTATTGTCTTTACTTGTCATTTAGCTCAGGGTAATGATATTTAATACACATTGTTCTTTAAAAGATCAACAAATTAAAGTGTCAATTTGTAGTTCTGAGTGTTTGTTAGATTACAATATTAGCATGTTTTTCAAACCTTTTTTTAAAGTTGCTTTCCATAACACCGATAAAAATCTGAGTTAGGTTTTAATAAAGTCCAAATTACAAAAATGTTAAAAGAATAACTCTTTTTTTCTATTATTTTCCTTTCAAAATAAAATGTGTCACCTTGAGAACCAATATCAGTTTCCTTAGAAAATACTAAATTGTACCTTTTAAAAATTATCTTAACACATATTGTCTATAGTTTAAGAGGCCATATCAAGAAAAGGAGCCAAAAAGAACTATATATCTCTTTTTTCCAATAGACTGTATATAATATTCTTGCAAAATCAAAGCAATATAAATGACAGTCCACAATACATTAAAAGATGGTCTTAGCCTTGATGTCTTTGCGGCATATAGTGACACTATGTATTTTGGTGGAATTTTTCAGCATTGATATTTGCTATGGTTTGAATGTTGATATCTCACTAAAATTTATGTGTTGGAACCTAATATCCATTGTGACTCTATTCAGAGGTAGGGCCTTTGGTAGTGATTAGGTCATGAGGGCTCTACTTTCACAAATGGGATTAGTGCCCTTATTAAAGAGGTTCCAGTGCATCTTCTTGACTCTGCTTTTCACTGCATGTGCAGCAAGAAGGCACAATCTTTGAAGCAGACCAAGCTCTCATCTGCTGGAACTTGATCTTGGACTCCCCGGCCTCCAGAAACATGAACGAAAATTTCTATTGTTCCCAAATTACCCAGTGTAAGGTATTTTGTTATAACAGCCCAAACAGACTACGACAAATCAACTGAATGCAGACTGTTAACATAGGGAAGAGGGAACCACGAAAGCTACAAAGCCTGGTTGTCCTGCTTATCTATATTTCACACTGTTCTTTTGTAACATAACAAAATTAGATGGACCTTTGTATTTGTGCATGGTGGAAAGTGGACAGGGAGGAAACGGAGACTTTTTCATCTTCGTTAAAATAATTTTTCCATTTAGTCTTAATTCAATGTCATATGCAAACATTACCCTACAGATGAATATTAGTTTATACCTGTGCTTATAATGTCCATAATAAAAACCAATTCTGAAGAGGGTGCTGCAGTTTTCTTTTAATTAAAACAAAAGAATGTGTGACACTCTAACGATTTTGATTCAACCATAGTACAAGATCAACCACAGGTTCATATTTCACATAAATAGTGAGCAAACTTCAGATTTCACATAATTTAAAAATCTGAAAATTTATGATTTAGAGTGTATCTAGATTTGTGCCACTTTTCCTGTGCAAATTCCATTTTATACATTTTTGTAGAAATAGCATGAAATTTAGGCTATGGCAACAATAATTAAATAAGCCACTGTATTTTAGCTAGTACAACATCCCAATAATAAGTGAAATTTTGATTTCATAGGTTTGTTGCTCCCTGAAAAAGTAATACAATTTTTTATTAAAATAATGTTTTAGATTATGTCCTTAAAAGAAATATGGATTTCAGTAGTTCAGATTTTGTAATTTGTCTCTCTGGAACTTTTAATTCTAAATATTAATTAGTGTGGTGATTATATATTCACCTTCTCTTTATACATGCCACAAATTGTATAATGTTGAAGATTTATTTAGAAGACATTATTATTTTGTTAAATAAGAAAAGTAATGTATTTTTAAAAAAACTTTTAGTAAGTAAGTGGCTAACTTATTACAAAACTTCAAATAACTTTGGAAAGTTGCTTGAATCTCGTTTCCCATAAATTTGGACATGATAGCTTTATGTCAATTATAATTTATTGTGTTTTATTTCATCTCTAAAATTGGATAGACATTATTTAATGACTCATACTTTGTAGGGAATTTGCCTGCAAATAAAAACGATGACAAATAATGTTACGGAAAGAAACTAGCCTGGATCGACTACTACCACACTCGTCCAATTAGGCAAATAATTTATCTCTCCAGCCCTCACATTCTGTGTCTATAAAATAAAAGGATGGAACTAAGAGACAGACACCCATTATAGTCCAGAAAAGCTTTTAATCTAACCTATATATCTACAATTTAATCTACTGAAAAATAATTGTAATAATTTATTACAATTTATTTAAAAATTTGAAAAATACTTTGTAATTTTATATTCTCCATTCTTTAGTCGCTTAATATGTACAAGTCTAGGAGGCAGGACATGGATCTAGGTTTTATAAGACTTCTGGCATTGTGTGAAAAAAATAAAAGCAAAGCAAACCTGATAAAAGTTCTAAATAATGGCAAGGCAAGTAATTAAAAGCATTCATTAAACAGAGAAATGGAGCAAGTTCTGTTTTGAGTCCTTTTGGCAGAAATCGCTAACTGCTCACCAAAATCCATGCTCTTCTCTTCTTCTTTGAATGAACTATACTTCCCAGTTCTCCTGGTACTTAGGTGTGGTCATGAGACTGAGATCTAGCCAATAGAATATGAATGTGCCTCTCTGCCTGGGTTATCCTTAGACATCTCCCATTAGCTATTTTATGTTCGTTTTCCTTAAGTGAAACTTCCAGGTGACCTTGGCAGTCTTGTATTGAATATATCGAAAACCTGCCTGGGTCCCTGGATGACTGCATGACCATGTCAATTCTCACACACACTCATGTTATGTGAGCAGAAATAATTTCCATTGTATCTTATCCAAATGTGTTTTGGGGTCAATATTTTTTAACAGCAGTTAAGCTTCTTTAATGCAGACCTCGAATAGAGTAAGAAACAGATTATACTCAAATTGCCCTCCTTCTGCTGTGATACCAACATATGTAATTACCAACCACATAATTTAATATACTTGCATTTAAGCCTACGACATCACAATATGTAGGTACACTTAATTGGACAAGAGGATGATCAGTTTCATTACAAAATTAAGAATTGTAGGAGACAATGTTGGTGTATCGGTTACCTAGCTCAGATGTGTGTTTGTGTAATTGGCTGGTAATGATATCTGTGATTACTACTACTGATAATGCAATCAATATAGGAAAGTATGTGGAATCCAGTGAATGAAACACTACATTAGCTCACTGTAATCAGCCCAGTAGGAAGCGCACTTAGGGTTCTGAAGCTGAAATGCAGTTTCCCTAAATTTGCATCACCACAGGGAAATATTGCTAACAAAAATTAAAAATAGCAAATTTAAAGAACAACATATTGTATGTGTTTAATATATAATTGTGTCCTATCAATATTTTAGGAAGAGGTTGTAGGTTATACCTTTCTTCCCTACTATTGGAGTGAGGATGAGCATAAGAGATGATTTGGGAATCAAAGAAAAAACAATGAGAAAGAGGCAAATGAGGAATGTTACAAAAATAAATAAAAGATTGTCCATATGCAGCTAGACAGCTGCTCCTCCCATCCCTTGCTGCATGCACACATATATCCTTCCCTCCCTTCCCTCCTCCTTCTCCAATTTATAAGAGCTTGAAATAAAATATATCTTTAGGTGCACAAGATATAATGTATTTTATAAGAAGGAAATTAAAACCAGACTATGTTAGCTGATGTTGAAATGCTCTGACCTTAACTGGCTTTGTTTCCACCTAAGATCCCAAATTGCTTTTTAAAAACCATTCTGAATTCCTGTGAATGTTAACTCTTGAATCTTACTGAGATGGGTAGCGTGTATAGAAAAATAACCTATTTAACTGTGAGTTTTCTTTAAAGGCAATTGATTTCTGGGGTTGAAACTTTTAGAGAAATAAAAATAAAACACAATTCTCAGATTCTTTGGAGCATCATACTCTACTCTTTATTAACTGAATATTCATTTAAAGCCAAAAAATAGTCTCCTACATATTTAATAATATATGCTGAAGATACTGTCACTGTCCCTTAGGGCACAGATTTTTAAAGCACTTGCTGAAATGCTTAATTAAAAAGTTTATTAGGTTTTATCTGTTATTCTTCATTATTAAAAGACTTTATATGCTCTTTGTGGGAAAATCTTTTACGGTACAGATTGGAAATCCCAATAGTCCTTGATGTACCATAGAATAAAAGGGAAAAAACACAGGGAAGTCTCTCTGTCAACCAACAGCTAATTTGATCAGTTTCTAGAGAAAAAAAAAATATATATATATATATATACATATGTATATATAATCCAGCCATTGCTTAATTGTCTGAAGAGATGTAAAAGGAAGTTACTGATTTGTAGCCCCATAAAATTAGTGATATAGTATGAATTTTTTTCCCTGCCCAATTCTCATGTTGAATTGCAATTCCCAATGCTGGAGGTGGGGCCTGGTGGGAGGTGTTTGGATCATGAGGGCAGAACCCCCTTTGTGGATTGATGCTATCTTCCTGATGCTGAGTTCTCATGAGATCTGGTCATTTAAAAGTGTATGACACCTCCCCCTGACTCACTCTCTCTTGCTCCTACTTTTGCCGGGTGATATGTCTGCTCCTACTTCGCTTTCAACCATGAGTAAAAGTTTCCTGAGGCCTCCCCAGACTGACACCAGCACTATTGTTCCTTTACATCCTGCAAAATTGTGAGCCAATTAAACCTCTTTTCTTATAAATTACACAGTCTCACATATTTCTTTATGGCATTACAAGAATGGCCTAACACAATTAGTAATGTGAAAAGGTGCACAGAGAAAAGATCTCAGACAGCCCCTCCTCCTTCTGCTCCTTCTCTTCCAGAAAGCCTGATCCCAAACTTGACTTAGGCACCTATTTTCTGGGTTCAACTAACACTTTGAAAACACCTCTATTCGTAATAATTATCAAGACATTAGTCATGATTTTCTCATAGCATTATCTAACTCACTGGCCTTAACTCCTTCAGAAAATGAAATATGCTCCACCCATCTTTTTATCCCCACAGACTAATGCAGAACCTAGCACAAAATAGGCACTCAATAAATATTCCTTAAACCAAATTAAATTATGGCAATAATGTCATAGCTTTTGAAAACAGGAGCACTTGCCAAAGATACTATAAAACTTAAACATAACCATTTTTTTAAATTAAGCATTTTTTGAAGGTTAAAAAATAGCAGAATGAGAAAATTTTATTAGAGTGACATTTGTATTTTTGCTCATCTATTTTATTAATGATAACACATATAGAAGATAAGAAGGCCACTGCTATCTAGACAACAGCTTTAAATTAGCCAGTCTATACCAAAATAAAATAGCTTTACAGCCAGTGAGCATGTAGAGGCATTATACAAACAGCTCTACTTTATTTTTCTCTGATTAGCAAATTACTTTCCTAGAAGCAATAGTGTTATTTATGCTAGTCATTTAAATAGATTGATGGAAGGCTTAGAAATCCCTTTCTCCTAGTCAGAAAATTGGCAAGGGTAAACGACATGATTTCTAGAGTTCCTTCTTCAGTAAACATTTAAAAATTAAAAATAAGACATCCAGGAAACATTTATTTTGCAATTTATATAGTCTCACTACCACCATCATTGCATCCAGCATTTCTTCTCTACACATGCTAACTTCTGTATTTCCAAAGATAATTTCATAAGAAATCAACTATCATCTTAAAATAGAGTCCACTGGGTACTTAATAGTGTAGAGAAATAGGGTCAATGTCTGACCATTAATTGCGAGAATTAATAGATGTCAGTTATTTGGTCAAAAAGAGAAAAAAACCTTAGTTTTATGGCCCAAGTCAACTACTTTTTAGAAAACTATCAACTTAATAATTTCAAGCTATCATGTATTGAGGACTTAATGTATACCAGTTATGATGTTATGAAAAGACGGTCTAAATTTATTTCAGTCTACTATCCTTTAGAATACTTATACTAAGCATCAATATCAGTACTATTATGCCCATTATTTTGAGAGAAAGAAGCTAAAGTTTACAGAAAATAAGCCGCTTGCCAAGCTCACATGGCTAATGAGTAGCAGGGCTAGAATTCAAAGCCAGGACTGACAAGCAAGCTCCTGCTGGTTCTACCCCATGAGGCAACCTCTCAAAATACCTCTCTGAATTAGGGTTAAGTGCTTTCTTCCTTCCTTCCATTCACATCTGGCTTGCACGTGACTTTCATGGAATTTATCACATTAGACTTAATACACATATACATACATAATGTGATCCCAGATGCTATGAAGGGAAAGCAAGCAGGGTTAGGGAAAGAAGAATTAGAAGGGAGTGGTTTAAACAGGGTGGTTAGGGAAGGTGTCACCTGCATGAAGTAAGAGAACAGGTTGACAGATTCTAGAGGGAGAAGAATTCTGACTGAGGAAGCAACAAGTTTGGTGGGAGGAGAATACTGACTGAGGAAACAGCAAATTCAAAGGTTTTGAGATAGGAACAGACTGGGATGTTGAAGGAATAACAGAGGGCCTTTGTAGCTGCAGTGGAGTTAGCTGAGGAAAAAGGTTAGGGTATAAAGTTGTGGAGGTCAGTGGTAACCAGAGCATGAAAAGCCTGAAATAATAAGGGCTTCGGATTGTTTTTCTCTTTTGTCTATCAGAAAATGCATTTGTTATTAATAGTGAGTGAAGAAAAGATGTCAGTATTCACGATAGAGAAGATATTGTATAAGCTTAAGGTTGCCTTTATACTGATTTTTAAAATGCCTTATTTCACCTGTAATCATAAACATCATTCTATTAAGAGGTAAATTTTCTCTCCTTTTTATCTCTTACTGGCATGACCATCATAAGAAGTTAAAGTGAAAGAACTCTTACACAGTCAAAGGAGAAAACCAATATGCCACAACCTAGACAATTTCACACAGCACTCTTTTCCCAAGATCTAGATTTTTCCCTCTCTTCTTTAC